>NC_000011.10:42787272-43090303 GCF_000001405.40 Homo sapiens
ATTTTGTCTTGCTTCAGAACCAGTATTAAATGCCAAGGAGGAGGACTTGGGAGATGTGGCATACAAAAGGGAAGAAGCAAAACCCTGCCAGGAATAGTAAAGAAACCCACACCTGCCCACACTATGCCTCCTCAACTCAAACCATCTCCATCTGGGAGGCATCCATTTGCCTGCTCAAAACTAAAAAAAAAAAAAAAAAAAAGGAGATGAAACCCACAAGGGGAATCCCAACCCATTTGCTGAAGTCAGGACTTTTCAGCTCTATCAAATCACTTTTCTACTGGTTACTTAAAAACATTGGTTTAAAAAAGGGTCCAGAGTATAAACCATGTGGGCCATGATATTCCCCTCCTATGACCCTGCAGCCATCAAAACCTAATTATGTCATACTTTTTCACTGGGTCCAGACCTGCCCCACAAGGCTGAAAAGTGTTTGTAATCAAACAGAATTATTGCAACAAATTAAAGATGTAATAATTTGCCATTCTGGATGTACGGATATAACAATGCATTGTGAATTGGAACTAAATTCAAGACCCTACTGCCATTAACTGTTTTGAACCCTTCACCTGTGTCTCTATATTAACTCAGTTTAAAGGACAGGGGAGAGGAACTTCTGTTCCTGAGATAATGGAGTGACCATTTGGGGACTTGCCTTTCCACGATAATAACTATCAAACTGAAAAAACTATAGGAGACAACTGCTTTCAGGAGTTGAACAACAGGCAGACAAGTATTGTAATCATTCAGAGAAGGGAAAAGCAAGAAGTAAACCATATTTCTCCTTGTTGTTTTGGGAATAGTTTCAGAACCAGGGTACGGGGGTAAAATCAAAGTAGAACATGGGCTTTTCACCAATATGAGGAAGTTTGGGTAAGATTAAACACCTGTAATTTGTGAGGAAATAAATCCAGACAGCATGAAGCTGAACAAAAGAGGCCCACAGGTCTGTGTGGGGGTTCTCGTCAAATTCTTATCCCTGAATGTGGCTATAACGCAATTACCATCTGTTTTCAGCTTGTACCCAAATACTGAACCACCCCATCCATATAACAAACTCAAGGTATTTCTTCTTTCTTCAACTGGAATCATGAGACCCTTCCATATAATCATACATGTGAGGAAACAGTGGTGCATTAGTACAAATTACACATGTCCCTTTGGTCCTGCTCAAGCTCAATACTGGATTTACCATTTCCATCTTAGGAGTGAATGTGGCTAGGCCTTTCTGAATTATGGCCTGGCATGTCCAATGGAACCAAACTTAATTCCACACATGGGTCACTCAGTGCCCCAAAGCCTAGTGTTACTTGTCTATCAGGAAGCTGTTCTTCAAAAGGCATATAATTCTTTGTTGAGAATGACATCACCTTTCCCCAACTCTGCCAGAAGCCTGCATTGTGTCTCTCTTTCAGGGTCTTGCCATAAATTCTACAATGAATCTTTGATTACCACCAACACCTCCAAGACCATGGGGTATGCTGGATCAAATGGCCCAAGTAGTATGGCTGCTTGTACTGCAGCCTGGGTCTGTGGTGGAGTTCTTTCTTGCTCTGGGCACTACTCAAAGCTTGAGACCGGCAGGGCACGGTGGTTCATGCCTGTAATCCCAGCACTTTAGGAGGCTGAGGCAGATGGATCATCCAAGGTCAGGAGTTTGAGACCAGCTTGCCCAACATGGCCATACCTCCCTCTCTACTAAAGATACAAAAATTAGCTGGGTGTGGTGATGAGCACCTGTAATCCCAGCTACTCGGGAAGCTGAGGCAGGAAAATTGCTTGAACCTGGGAGGTGGAGGTTGCAGTGAGCTGAGATCACGTCACTGCACTCCAGCCTGGGTGAAAGAGTGAGATTCCATCTCAAAAACAAACAAACAGAGCTTGAAACCTTCCATATTACCCACCGTAAGGGCTGGAGCTGCATTCATAGGTGTGGAATCCATTGCCTTCAGAAGTCAAAAAGGCCTCTTTGTGGCATGGGATACAAAGCATAACAATGATCCTTTTACATTGAAAGAGATATTCTAGCACCTCCTGAAACTAAAAAACTTCATTGCATTGGCAGGTCCTTGAATCTTCACAGCATTTATCCCCTAACCTCTTCAGAGGAGAACCATCACTGAACTTAGTCTTGGGCACTTCACACTAATGCACTCCTAATGGTCTTCTTGAATGGTGGATCCTCAGGCCCTTCCTCAAATCATAATTCTTTTCTCATCTTCTGGCCTTACTTTATGTATCAATTGCAGCATTACTACTTTCCTCAACCCCTTTATTCCTTCCTCTACCTTTTTCTAGGACAATTCAGATATTTTCACTTTACTGGTCATTAGCAATTTCTTTTTCCAGGCTCCAGACTGCCACCCTAGCAGTGGGCTTACCCATTCATTCCCTGAGGTCCTTGTTTAAGTGTTGAAGTCTGTGTCCTGAGAGCATGCCCTGAGTCAATAAATTTAAATGTATCCAGTCTCACAACCTGGCTTCTTTAGTCAAACATCCTAAATATCTAACACTAAAGGTATCCTCCTGGCTTCTGCCAGTACACACAAGCTAATTCTTACAATTCTTTCAAAGCATGGTTATTTTTCTTCCCTTACCAGCCGCAACACATCTCCATCCATGTGATGCTGTGATATATCTCTAGTTACCAACATGAAAGTAGGTGGGGGTAACTCCTGTAGCCAAAACATATGTGACTCTAACAACTTAATAATAATGAGACAGATAACCCAACTTTTTAAAAAGGAAAGAGATTTGATCACTAACAAATGAAAATTACACAAACACTAATAATACATGAAAAGATATTGAACATTATTAGTCATCAGGGAACTTAAAATTTAAACTATAATGAGACAGATACCATGTCACAACACTGAAAAGCTAAAATTGGGAAAACTGACAATACCTAATGTTGATAAGGATTTAGAGCAACTGGAACTCCCATACATTGTTGGTAGAAGTATATAGTTATACAACAACATTGGAAAACAGTTTCACAGATTTTTTTTATGAAAACACAGCTACCTGTTACCCAGCAATTCCACTTCAAAGTACACCCACAAAATATCTTGTACAAGAAAACAGCAGCTTTATTCATAGTAGTTAAAACTGGCATCAGCCCAAATAGCCATCAAGAAGAAAATAAACAAATTGTCATTTATTTATAAAATTAAATACTACCCAACAATAAAAATTAACTACTGATATGCTACAAGATAAAAACTGATCAAAAAAATACGGAGTGAAAACCACAGGCAAAAGTTAACATATAATATTATTTAATTTTTATGAAAGTTAAGAACAGATCAGATGACACAATTGTGTATCTAGAAAACCCCATCGTCTCAGCCCAAAATCTCCTTAAGCTGATAAGCAACTTCAGCAAAGTCTCAGGATACAAAATCAATGTGCAAACATCACAAGCATTCTTATACACCAATAACAGACAAACAGAGAGCCAAATCATGAGTGAACTCCCATTCACAATTGCTTCAAAGAGAATAAAATACCTAGGGATCCAGCTTACAAGGGATGTGAAGGACCTCTTCAAGGAGAACTACAAACCACTGCTCAATGAAATAAAAGAGGATACAAACAAATGGAAGAACATTCCATACTCATGGGTAGGAAGAATCAATATCGTGAAAATGGCCATACTGCCCAAGGTAAGTTATAGATTCAATGCCATCCCCATCAAGCTACCAATGACTTTCTTCACAGAATTGGAAAAAACTACCTTAAAGTTCATATGGAACCAAAAAAGAGCCTGCATTGCCAAGTCAATCCTAAGCCAAAAGAACAAAGCTGGAGGCATCATGCTACCTGACTTCAAACTATACTACAACGCTACAGTAACCAAAACAGCATAGTACTGGTACCAACACAGAGATATAGACCAATGGAACAGAACAGAGCCCTCAGAAATAATACCACACATCTACAACCATCCAATCTTTGACAAACCTGAGAAAAACAAGAAATGGGGAAAGGATTCCCTATTTAATAAATAATGCTGGGAAAACTGGCTAGTCATATGTAGAAAGCTGAAACTGGATCCCTTCCTTACACCTTATACAAAAATTAATTCAAGATGGATTAAAGACTTACATGTTAGATCTAAAACCATAAAAGCCCTAGAAGAAAACCTAGGCAATACCATTCAGGACATAGGCATGGGCAAGGACTTCATATCTGAAACACCAAAAGCAATGGCAACAAAAGACAAAATTGACAAATGGGATCTCATTAAACTAAAGAGCTTCTGCACAACAAAAGAAACTACCATCAGAGTGAACACGCAACCCACAAAATGGGAGAAAATTTTTGCAGCCTGCTTATCTGACAAAGGGCTAATATCCAGAATCTACAATGAACTCAAACAAATTTACAAGAAAAAATCAAACAACCCCATCAAAAAGTGGGCAAAGGATATGAACAGACACTTCTCAAAAGAAGACATTTATGCAGCCAAAAGACACATGAAAAAATGCTCACCATCACTGGCCATCAGAGAAATGCAAATCAAAACCACAATGAGATACCATCTCACACCAGTTAGAATGGCAATCATTAAAAAGTCAGGAAACAACAGGTGCTGGAGAGGATGTGGAGAAATAGGAACACTTTTACACTGTTGGTGGGACTGTAAACTAGTTCAACCATTGTGGAAGTCAGTGTGGCGATTCCTCAGGGATCTAGAACTAGAAATACCATTTGACCCAGCCATCCCATTACTGGGTATATACCCAAAGGATTATAAATCATGCTGCTATAAAGACACATGCACATGTATGTTTATTGCGGCACTATTCACAATAGCAAAGACTTGGAACCAACCCAAATGTCCAACAATGATAGACTGGATTAAGAAAATGTGGCACATATACACCATGGAATACTATGCAGCCATAAAAAATGATGAGTTCATGTCCTTTGTAGGGTCATGGATGAAACTAGAAATCATCATTCTCAGTAAACTATCACAAGGTCAAAAAACCAAACACCGCATGTTCTTACTCATAGGTGGGAATTGAACAATGAGAACACATGGACACAGGAAGGGGAACATCACACACCGGGGCCTGTTGTGGGGTGGGGGGAGGGGGGAGGGATAGCATTAGGAGATATACCTAATGCTAAATGACGAGTTAATGGGTGCAGCACACTAACATGGCACATGTATACATATGTAACAAACCTGCACGTTGTGCACATGTACCCTAAAACTTAAAGTATAGTAATAATAAAATAAAATAAAAGAAAGTTAAGAACAGATAAAATCAACCTTTTCTTAATGATGAGAAAAATCAGAACAATGAGAAAAATCAGAACAATGATTACCTTTAGGGGAGGTAGATTAACTATAAGAGAATACCAGAGAACTCTCTTGTTGGAAATATTTGTTATCTTTGGATGGGAGTTACTGGGATGTAAGTATTAAAATGTATGTAACTGTATGGATGTATACATTTGTTATGGACACAAGGTATTTTGCATATGCACTTAAGATTCTACTTTTTACCATATGAACATTTTATTTCAATAAAATTGAAGATAGGAGAGTTTTTGTATGTTTTTTGCCTTTCTATATTACATACTTTCAATGTAGGAATTAGCAGGGCTGTAGATATGAAAGATTTTACTTATTTGGAGTAAAATGAAGTTTGTTTTGCCTTTCTTTATAATTTTCAAGTATAAGCAGTCAGGTTCAAGCCTATCTCATTCATTTATTCTGACTTCCTATAATTAATCTTTTTTGTACTACTATATAATCTGGTTTGGCTATGTCCCCACCCAAATCTCAGCTTGAATCGTAGTTCCCATAATCCCCATGTATCATAGGAAGGACCAGGTGAAAGGTAATTGAATCACAGGGGCGGTTACCCCATGCTGCTCTTCTCATGATAGTGAGTGAGTGCTCATGAGATCTGATGGTTTTATAAAGGGCTTTTCCCCCCTTTGCTCTGCACTTCTCCTTCCTACCACTATGTGAAGAAGGATGTGTTTTCTTCCCTTGCACCATGACTGTAAGTTTCCTGAGGCCCCCCTAGCCATGCTGAACTGTGAGTCTGTTAAACCTCTTTCCTTTATAAATTATCCATTCTTGGATATGTCTTTATTAGCAGCATGAGAATGGACTAATACACTATATGTCAAGTAGTATACAAAAATAATAGTTGATACTGATACATCATGGCTTACCATGTATTACATAGGCAGAATTGTAAATGTTTCACAGAGAGTAACTTATTCAATCTTCATGAATGACATAATAATTATTATTGTCCCCAATTTAGATAGGAGAAAACCAAGGCAAAGAAGGTATGTCAATTTGTTGATTTCGCATAATCCATAACTGTGAGAATTCAAACCCAAGTTCTATCCTCTTAATCATTATACTATGTTCCTTTAAAAGATGCATGGCAAATTGATTTGGGAATATTAAAGTATCTAGATTGCAAGATTCCTTTAGACATCACAAAAGTTTTAATTATTTAAGAAGACATAACTTTCACTGTCTTTTCTCATATTTCCATAAGTCAGTCTCATATTTCCATGATGTCTTTTCTCATATTTCCTTGTTCCTCTAGAGCTGGAATAGACAAGTTTCTATAAGTGGTCAGGGATCATAAGACTACTGCTTAACAACATCAACTGGCTCTGACTGAGCAGCATGGAGAGAAATGCAGGAGACTGGAAAGCAGAAGAGTAGAGATCTAATCTTGTCTCTGACTAGGTCTGATTTTCTGAGTAAAACCCGAAATTGCTGGGTTTGAACTTTCCAAAAATTATCTCCAAGATACGCCTAAATCTAACATTTTATAGCTTGAAGATATTCTTCTCTAGATAGTTCCAATATAACTAATCTACTATCACTCCATATTTCTGCAACTATGAAGAGTTTTAAAGAGAAATGTCAACTATTTCAATTATTTCAATATGTGGTGACACCAAAGCAAAAAAAAAAAAAAAAAAAAAAAAAAGTGCAGATACAGTGAGAGATTCTTAAGCTTGAATTTCCAAATATTAAAAGATATGTATATTCAATAACATAGTATTGGGGAAAATAGTTTATCTCAGAAAACAAATACATTAAAGGCAGATTAAAAGCTAAACTTAAAAATAAAGGTTCAAACTCAAATGCTTGTAAGGGGTAGAACATTAATTATAGGCCTGTGACATCAGCCTGGCATAAAAACAAGTAGGCACTCAGATGCTTATATTATACTTGAGCATAATAAGTAGTTAGTTGCATGGTTGCATTGCCATTTCAAGTATTTTGTATCATAATACACCATAGCAAAATCTGTTTAGTGAACCCTGAAATGAAGTATGAAAGCATTAGAATAAAATATAGAAAATGCATATACATGTATTTATGCAGCTCTTTATTTATATTTATATGGGTATATACACACACCACAAACACACACATATACACACTCGCCCACTCATAAAACCTTGAGGTAGGTTGGGCTATTTTAAACAGTAGACAAAACAGAATGTCAGAAAAAGAATTATTATTTTTTTAGAAAAAGAATATTAATAAACTTGAACCTAAACATTTAAAATCTCTAAACACAAAAGATTATAAACAGAATTAAATGGCAAGTGATAAATGAGGAAATATTTACAGTATTTATAGCAAGCCAAGGATTAACATCCGGAATATATAAATAGCTTCAAAAGTCAATAAGCAAAAGACAAACATAGGAGGAAAAGATGTGCAAATTCTACAAATAACTCAAGAAGAACTGAAAATAGCAAATAAATATATTGAAAAGACAAAGAATCTCATTAGTACTCAGGGAAATGTAAATTAAAGCTATAATGGGGAGAATTTTTAATCAAAAAAGATTGGCAAAAATTATACAAGTTGATAATAACAAGTGTCAGAGAATGGATAAGGAAGTGTTTACCTTCATACTTTGCTGTTGAAATGTAAACTTGACTCAGCATTTGTTGGAGTATATTTTGGCAATATTTATTTAACAATTAAATAAACATACCAGTTATTCCAATTCTGGTATCTACAAAAGAAAGGAGGGAAGTAGGGAAGAACAGAGAGAATGACGGAGGAAGAAAAGAAACAAAGAAAACCAGATATGTATAAAAGGAAATACATGCTAAGACAGTCATTGCAGCATTGAAAATAGCAATTATTAGTATAAAATCTGTGTGACTAGTATAATTCTAAACACTTTATGTTATTAACCTCAATACAAAAATGGCTATTTTTTACATCAAGAAACTAACTGTGGTAAGTAATTTGCCCAAAGTAACTCAGCCAGTAAGTAATGGAACTGGCTCGATTCCATTTTATTTTTTTATTTTACTTTATTTTATTTTATTTTATTTTATTTTATTTTATTTTATTTTATTTTATTTTACTTTATTTTATTTTATTTTATTTTACTTTATTTTATTTTATTTTATTTTATCTTATCTTATTTTATTTTATCTTATTTTATTTTATTTTATTTTATTTTATTTTATTTTATTTTAGAGATAAGGTCTCGCTCTGTTGCCCAGATTAGAGTGCAGTGGCACTATCATGGCTTACTGCAGCCTTGAACTCCAAGGCTCAAACCATCCTCCCAAGTAGTTGGGACTACAGGCATGCTACACCATGCTCAGCTACTTTTTCAATTTTTTGTAGACACGAGGTCTCACTAAATTGCCCAGACTGGTCTTGAACTCCTGCAGTCAAGTGATCCTTCTGCCTCGGCCTCCCAAAGTGCTGGGATTATGCATTTGAACCACTGTGACTTGTGCTGGCTCTATTCTTAATAGCTACACAGAGCTGCCTCTGAATGTCCATAATAGGAAAATACTAGAGAGAGTCTAAATATCCACCAATAGAGGTGTACTTAAATTATAGAACACATATACTGTGGAGTATGGAAATTTTAAATGTATTAAGTGAAATTATGGTTTGTAAAATAAAATGATAAAGTATGACATATTTATAGGTAGAAATTTTACAGAATTAAATTATATATTTTTACAGACATACACACATATACATACATACACATGCAGGAGCAGAATGTCCTAAAGGTATGTAAAAAAATGATAACAGTAGCTGTCTTGGGAAAAAAGACAGAGCTTTCTGATGATGTTCAAAAATAACTCATTTATCTATATTGCTTGAATCTCTTTTTAACAAAATGTGTTCACAAATTCCAAGTTTATTTAAAACGTGCTTAAAGACATTATCAATTTGGATGAGTTATCTGAACAGGTTTCAGGATTTCCCATACTGATCTTTAATGAAATTATTGACTGCAATTTGTACTTTAAAAAAAACCTTCACTTCACTATATCACTTATAATACATAGTCTCTTACATATATTCTAAACAACTCCAGCACCAAAAACATGTTACAGGGACAAGGAGCCAGCAGCATTGATAATCCAGGAGTGCCACATGCCAGGCTAAGGGTGTTTCCTGGGAAGAGTTAATACTGTATCCAGTATCAACTCTGGATGGTACAGGTCCAATCATTCTTTGCAGAAACACACGGGATCAAAATTTTGGCTTCTTATCTTGGCAGAACCCAAATCCAAATTTGGTCAACCCCACCTACAAAAACAGAGGCCCAGGGATTCAAACTAAAAAAAAAAGACTTAGTGTTTTGGGGAAGAATTGTTATACTACCTAGGAATCCAACTTACAAGGGATGTGAAGGACCTCTTCAAGGAGAACTACAAACCACTGCTCAATGAAATAAAAGAGGATACAAAAAAATGGAAGAACACTCCATGCTCATGGGTAGGAAGAATCAGTATCGTGAAAATGGCCATACTGCCCAAGGTAATTTATAGATTCAATGCCATCCCCATCAAGCTACCAATGACTTTCTTCACAGAATTGGAAAAAACTACTTTAAAGTTCATGTGGAACCAAAAAGGAGCCCGCATCGCCAAGTCAATCCTAAGCCAAAAGAACATAGCAGGAGGCATCATGCTACCTGACTTCAAACTATACTACAAGGCTACAGTAACCAAAACAGCATGGTACTGGTACCAAAACAGAGATATAGATCAATGGAACAGAACAGAGCCCTCAGAAATAACGCCGCATATCTACAACTATCTGATCTTTGACAAGCCTGAAAAAAGCAAGCAATGGGGAAAGGATTCCCTATTTAATAAATGATGCTGGGAAAACTGGCTAGCCATATGTAGAAAGCTGAAACTGGATCCCTTCCTTACACCTTATACAAAAATTAATTCAAGATGGATTAAAGGCTTAAACGTTAGACCTGAAACCATCAAAATCCCTATTAGAAAACCTAGGCAATACCATTCAGGACATAGGCATGGGCAAGGACTTCATATCTGAAACACCAAAAGCAATGGCAACAAAAGCCAAAATTGACAAATGGGATCTCATTAAACTAAAGAGCTTCTGCACAGCAAAAGAAACTACCATCAGAGTGAACACGCAACCCACAAAATGGGAGAAAATTTTTGCAATCTACTCATCTGACAAAGGGCTAGTATCCAGAATCTACAATGAACTCAAACAAATTTACAAGAAAAAATCAAACAACCCCATCAAAAAGTGGGCAAAGGATATGAACAGACACTTCTCAAAAGAAGACATTTATGCAGCCAAAGAGACACATGAAAAAATGCTCACCATCACTGGCCATCAGAGAAATGCAAATCAAAACCACAATGAGATACCATCTCACACCAGTTAGAATGGCAATCATTAAAAAGTCAGGAAACAACAGGTGCTGGAGAGGATGTGGAGAAATAGGAACACTTTTACACTGTTGGTGGGACTGTAAACTAGTTCAACCATTGTGGAAGTCAGTGTGGCGATTCCTCAGGGATCTAGAACTAGAAATACCATTTGACCCAGCCATCCCATTACTGGGTATATACCCAAAGGATTATAAATCATGCTGCTATAAAGACACATGCACATGTATGTTTATTGCGGCACTATTCACAATAGCAAAGACTTGGAACCAACCCAAATGTCCAACAATGATAGACTGGATTAAGAAAATGTGGCACATATACACCATGGAATACTATGCAGCCATAAAAAATGATGAGTTCATGTCCTTTGTAGGGTCATGGATGAAACTAGAAATCATCATTCTCAGTAAACTATCACAAGGTCAAAAAACCAAACACCGCATGTTCTTACTCATAGGTGGGAATTGAACAATGAGAACACATGGACACAGGAAGGGGAACATCACACTCTGGGGACTGTTGTGGGGTGGGGGGAGGGGGGAGGGATCGCATTAGGAGATATACCTAATGCTAAATGACGAGTTAATGGGTGCAGCACACCAGCATGGCACATGTATACATATGTAACTAACCTGCACATTGTGCACATGTACCCTAAAACTTAAAGTATAATTATAATAAAATAAAAAACAAAACAAAACAAAACAAAAAACACTTAGGGCATATTCATGAGGGTCATTAGGAAAAAAGCAAAGGGACAACATCCTATTTCTCCACAAATAAAACAAAAAGCCCTAACTAAGAGAAAACGCAGACAAATGGAAAAGAGAACACATCTGAATCTTTCCACTAAAGAAGAAAATTTACATCACCTTGTTCATTGAAGTTTCATATTGACAATTACTATATTACACAAAATGAGTTGTAGGACACAGTTTGTCCAGTTTGTTTGTCCGGTTTTCTTCTAGAACTTTAGGTATCAACTCCTAAACTAAAAATATAATAAAATAAATATGCATAAATATGTCGAGTAGCTCCAGTTTATTGAGAATCTTGCATATGCCAACATTGTAATAATCACATGTACAGGCATTTCTAATCTCCGAATTCTTACAACAACTTTATAAAATAGTATCTTTGTCTTAATTTGACAAAGAAATTGAGCTCACTAGGACCTATTTATTAATCAAAAATAATCTGATGATTACTCATCTTTTAGGCTTTATATTGAACACTTCACAAAGGTATTTACAGTAGGCATGAATTTCACTTCACAATACTACAGTGAAAATTGTTCTATGTCTTTATTTCTTTTAAATGAATTAAATTTGCTTTACTAGAAGAACATTCCATTTCAGTTGGAAGAGAAAGGAGGAATGACGGAATCCTTCACTTTTCTCATCATATATGAGAATCTGGAGGTGCTTATATTGTACAGACTCTGGAGAAATCCCTGTGGTCTTCAACTGACAGCAGCCACTAACTGTGTACTTATGTGCCCATGCTTGCACAGTTCCTTGATGGTGGGTAATATCTGTGCTCTTGCTTCAAACTTCAACACAGAAGTCATTGTCAAAGCCAAGGAGCTGACAGTCATGATGCCATCCTCTCTAGCTGTGCCACAGAGCTCACTTGGTGAACACAGCTATTGCCCTGGGGCACTGCAGGAATGCAGGAATAATTTCTCACCCCTCCCCTTCTCAAAGAACCTGCCAATTTGTAACCTTTCCCTGGTTTCAGAAGAAGCTCCTTAAACCAGCTCTGGTCAGTATCTCTGCCTTTCATGTATGCTGTTTCTCTTGACTCTTGACTTCTCTAACTAAAAAATAAAAAGGTTCTTCTAATCTCCTAAAGCATCAGCTCTGGCTATATTTGGTGGTCAACAAGGGGGAACCACCCAGATATTTGTTTGCAGACTGAACTGTCCTCCAGTATCCAATACTGAGTTAAACTCTAAGTCCAAGCTAGAAAGGACTTGAGACTTTATAAAGCATAACCTGCTCCTCAAAGCATGAACCACTTTATAATAATGCCAATTAAAAAAAAATCCTCAGCCTTCCCTATAAGAGGATTTTCAAATAAGGGTTCTAATGAATCAGTTAGTATCATGGGAGCCTCCTTTTTGTACTGAGTATAGAGAACTCCACGGTTATTCTTGAACATGAAAACCTCACTGTGTGCCTTTGCCATGTTCCTGGAAAGTTGCACGCCTACCTATCACCCGCTTACCACCTGCTCACAAATCTAAAAAAGGAAAAGGAGAAAACATGGCATAAGGCAAAGGAGTATCAAGTGAAAAGACAATTTCAGCACAAAAGCATTCTGAATAAAATTACTAAATGTTTTTTTCTCTAGCAAAGTCTAACCTTGAAACCCATTCTCAGTAACTCCCTAAGATGACGATGAAAACAGATGCTCTCCCTAGCTGTTGCTGTCTTACATTTGCATACTCACTCTCTATCTTTCTTCCAGTACTTTAAGAATCATGTCCAAAACTGTTACCCCACTTTAGTATATTTTAACGGGCGCACTGGTCACATTTTCATCACTTTTGGGGCACATTAGAGAATGTATAACATCACACATTATGGATTATCTTAGAAATGTGTTCAAGCTCTAGCAAAAAAGTAAAGAAGAAAGCATTTGCTGAGTGATGCTAAGCTCCAACATGATGTTGATTTTTCAACTGGAGGTCCCAGGCCATGTAACTGGATCAGTGGGTAGATTCTGAGTTATGGTTTTACTTTTTCACCATTTGGGAAAAGGGCCCTTGTATTAGTTTGTTCTCATGCTGCTAATAAAGACATACCTGAGGCTGAGTAATTTAAAAAGGAAAGAGGTTTAATGGAATCACAGTTCCACAGAGCTGGGGAGACCTCACAATCATGGAAGAAGGCAAAGGAGAAGCAAAGGCACATCTTACAAGGTGGCAGGCAAGAGAGCATGTAGGGGAACTCCCCTTTATGAGACCATCAGATCTCATGAGACTTATTCACTACCACAGGAACAGTATAGGGGAAATCACCCCTGTGGCTCAATTATCTCCACCAGGCCCTGCCCTTGACATGTGGGGATTACTACAACTCGAAATGAGATTTGGGAGGGGACACAGCCAAACTATATCAGCCATTATTTTAGGATTATACTGTAAAAAATATTAAAATATATTTGATAAGGTGAAGATAATTATATGTAAACTTTGTGTTAAATTAAGCAATATTGCAAATATGCTATGGAGATTATTTAAGGGAATGTCTTAGAAATATTATTACATTTCTTGTAAATACTTTCAAATTACCAAGAATTCATCTTTGATACGAGTAAATTCTCCCTATTTTAGTACATCGTATGTTTTGCTGCTTCACAGATCAGAATTTGATGACATGCTTCTCACTGGGGCAACTGAGTGCAGTGTGGGAAACAAGTTTTCTAAAACCCGTAACCAGCAGAGAGGGGAGGACTTGAGAATAGGTTTGTTTTTCCGAGAGCTTAGAGCTCACAGGGGTGGCGAATGTCATCTACAAGTGGCATTTAGAACTCACCTACCTGATGAGGGATGCTTTCATTACTACAGGTTGAATATCCCTCATCCAAAATGCTTGAGACCAGAAGTGTTTCAGATTTCAGATGTTTTCAGATTCTGGACTATTTGCCAGTTGAACACATGAAATTTGAATATCCAAAATTTGAAATGCTCAAGTGAGTATTTTCTTTGAATGTCATGTCAGCACTCAAAAAGTTTTGGACTTTGGGGCATTTTCAGATTTGGGATGCTCCTTACTGTTTACAAAAACAAAGATCAGCTCCCCACTTGCTTGGTGCTTCAAAGAAAATAGCCCTGGTCCTTCTCTTTGTAAAGGGTTTCCAGGTGAAAACTACCTAGACAAACACAGCTATTTCCCTGGGGCAATAAATTAAATTAAATATATTTTAAATTAAATACATTTACTTTGAGTCAATACATATTTATGTTTCCCCTACTACAGGTAAGATATTCCCCAGTGGAATTAGGATTCTTCAGTGCATTAGGCAGACATAGTAGCTGTCATCACCAGAGTGAGAAAGAGAAAACAAAAATATATCTAAGTTAAGTTACGGAGACTTTTTTTTTAAAACACATAAAGGTCTTGGGTTCACTGGGGGCACAAAGATGAATATGACACAGTGCATACCCTCAAAGGGTTCTCACTCCAGGGAGGGAGGCAGATTTGTAAACAGGTAATTATCATACAACACTGTGTTGTAAAAGTACTTAACTGCCTCATTGAAACCTACAACTTTAATTACTTGAGCTAACGGGCCAAGGACTCTTACTGTTGTGGAATGGAAATGACAATACATGATCTACAACTTCCTCAGTGCTGACTTCCCACCCATTCCTGATCAGCCAGAAAGGCATTTTCTCTTTTCTAAATGACACGTCTCATGTCACATGTGGGCAAAAAGGCTTTTGTTGAGAGAAGTCAGGAAGTTGATGATTTGTTTTGGTTTGTTGTGGGTTTTTTGTTTCGCTTTGTTTTATTTTTACTGTAGAAAGAGTCATTAATATGCCACTCCAAAGACAGAAAATAATAGATCCATTTCTTCTAATGGAGAGACAGTGTACAGTTTAAAGATGGTTTATTAGCTTCCAGCTTCTGATACACGGGAACTATTTGGGTACATAACTCAGCTCTCCAGTCCAGAGCCAGCTCCATAAACCTTAGCAGCGCTTTTCCCCACCTTTTGACTAAATAGAAAGTTACTGTACAGTTACAGCCCTGTTATATATGATGTTAATAAATGTGCCATGCTGACTGTCCGCTCTTTTAAGTAACTCTGCTAACCTGGACACAGTATCTGAGATTTATATTGCTGCATAAAGTCTGAGGGGAACACAGGAAAATGGCTCTATAGATAGAATTAGACCGGCTATCTCTCTACATTTCAGAAATGGCAGGAGGAGAGATGTTCAGGGGCACTTGTAGAGGACGAGAGAGGGCAAAAACAGCGAAAAGGAAAGCTTTTGAGAACAATTTCTGCAGTTTTGCCAATGTGACTGATTCTGAATGAGGCTTTGGCTGTAAAATTCCTTTCTTGTCTTGATGAAGAGAACAGTCTCTGGTGAAACTTAGTGTATTACACCCTTTTCCAAGTCTCTAACACCTTGAACTTCCAGTTAGTAAACTGAAACCTAGTATTAAGTCATTTAATATTTATTACATGAATGAATAACAACTCAACTGTAAACCCCTGGAAGTCAGAGAATTTGTCTATGCTCACTGCTCTATCTCTTGCATCCATAAGGGTGCCCAGTAGATAACAAGTGTGCAATAATTATTTATTTTATGAACAGATTATATAAATAACAATGTCACTTACTACTCACTGGTACTGTATAGACTATAATCCAACCCTACATCTGATCCTGAAAGATGACAGACTCAATATTTCATTGCTGTTTCACAAGGAAAGAGCTCAAGGTAAAAATAAGGGAGTTGATCTGGATAAATCTAAATAATAAATCATTAAACTAGGGAGAAACAGATGTCTGAAATTCAACAATGGGAATAAACAGGCTGGTGGCAGGCATATTTGAGAGTGAGATGGCCATGTGGAGCTGGCCTTACTTCAGCTGCAGGGGAAAAGCCAAGAACTTTGAAATTGTACAATATCCTTCCAACTTACAGCCTGAAGCCATATCATGTAAACAGAAGTTAGTGATGTTGGACCATCTTTAAACTATATTCCCTCTAATGGAAGCCACAATGAGTGCTTATCTTCCAAAGGTTTACTCTGTCCCATTCTGCCCATCTGATGCTGCTGCTTTCATGCTACCACAATCTCCTCACCACAGTCTCCGTATGTCCTCAGTGTTGTTTCTTAAATTTATAATGCAATGGCAAAAAGACCCATATGCAAAGGGTACTCATACTTTTAAAATCTAGTCAAATATGGCTATCAATATTATCAATGCCTTTCACAGGTTGAGATATATGACAAATGCTAACTCAAATTTAAAGCTATTCATCTTACTCTCCCATATTTTTCTTACTAGTTGCCCACAAAATCAGCCCTTGGAGTTTGCAAACACTTGTAATAAAGTCTATTTCTGTTGCTCGCTTCAGCCTCAACAAGCACCTCTGTTCACTTCTAATGTCCTTATGGCTTTTTTCCCCACTTCACATCTTCCTCTTATTGCTATTCTGGTTGTCAGGACACCTTCCCTAAAGCAGACCAAGTAGACTCAACTCAAGAGTCTGACTTTATTGCAAACTTCAATACCTTTCTTTATGATACATTCTAGCATCTTGTATCAGTCAGTTTTTGTTGCATACCAAACCATCCCAAAACATAGTTGTTTAAACAATCATTATTTAATTTCTTATGATTATCTGGGTTGGCAATTTGGACTGGACTAAACTGTGACAACTCATCTCTGCTCCATATATCAGCTGGGCTCACTGAAACATCTAAGCACCTCAACTGGAAAGCTGGGATGGCTGGGACATCTGGGCACCATCTCTACATACTGTCTCTTTGTCCATCTGGATAGCTCAAGCTTATACACATGATCACAGAAAGATGTTCTGCACAAGAATGGGTGCTGCAAAACCTCATTTATTTGGGGTTGGAAATTGTACAACATCCTTTCTGTCACATTTTATTAGTTAAAAGAAGTCAGCAGGACAGCCCAGATTCAAAGGTTGAAAAAAGTGGACAACCTCTTGATGGAATCAGATGCAAATAGTTGGTGGCCAGTTTTTCAGTTTATACTAAAATCAAAATATTATACACTTTAATTTTCAAAAAACACCCACACGTTTTAAGGACAATAAAAATAATAAAAAATTTTACCAAATAATTGTGATAATTTCTTAAATGCCAGTGCCAGGCATTTAACATTTTACATAACACATAGTATTGCATTCTCACCCAATGAAAGAGATAAGGAGTTGGCAAATTACAGCTTGTTGACCAAATCCAGCCTGCGGCCTGCACCTGCCTTTGTACAGCCCATGAGCTAATAATGGTTTTTATACTTTTAAATGGTTGGGAGAAAAAATTTAAAAAGAATAAGATTTCATGACACATAAAAATTATATGAAATTCAAGTTCCAGTGTCCATACATAAAGTATAATTGGAACACAGTCATGCTCAATTGTTTACATATTATCTATATCTGCTTTCAAACTAGAACAGCAGAATTTAGTAGTTGCAACACAGACCATATGGCCTGAAAAGCCTAATATATTTATCGTCTGGTCCTTTACAGAAAGTTTTCTGACCTCTGGAATAGATGCCATTATTATCTTCCTGATATTAATTAGGAAACTAAGGCTTTTAAAATGTAAGTAAGTATGCAGTATGTTCATAGCAGTATTAACAGCTAAAAGGCAGAGGCAACCTAAGTGTCCATCAACAGATTAACTGATAACCAAAATGCAGTATATACATACAATGAAATATTATTCAGCCTTGAAAAGGAACAAAATTCTGAAACATTCTACGATATGAATGAGCCTTGAGGACATTATGCTAAGTGAAATAAGCAAGTCACAAAAAGACAAACATTATATGATTCCACTATATGAGGTACTTGAAGTACCCATAATCATAGAGACAGAAGTAGAATGGTGGTTGCCAGGGACTGGAGGGAGGAAAGAATGGGGAGTTATTGTCTGATGGGTTTTGTAAGTTGAAAAGAGTTTTGGTGATGGATGGTAGTGATGGTGGTGATGGTAGCACAACATAGGGATGCCCTGAACTGTATAGCTTAAAATGGTTAAAATGTTAACTTTATGTTATGTGTATTTTACCACAATTAAAAAATGAAAGAAAAATAATCTAAAGCAATTTTTAAATTTTCACTGAAGTCATTAACATTGCAACAGTTAACCAAAAAAAGAGAAAAAAAGAAGAAAAAAAACAAGTAACTTGCTTAAGTGTTAAGAGACCAGAACCAGAATTTGAACTCAGATCTGCATGGCTCTAAAATTCATACTGCTCTCCCAGAAAGACATCTTCCATTATAACACGTACATACCTGTGTCATAATGCCTAATCTTTATGACAGCTGTGTGAGTAGCCCCATTTTACAGATAAAGAACTAAATAAAAAGTTACGGAATAATTTGACAAATCCTATATGAGTAGTAAGTGGCAGAGCTAAGATGCAAAATCAGGTATGCCAGACTTCAAAGCCGGAGCTCCTGCTTTTGCAGTGGAGAAATCTGACAGATGCCACCTTAGCAAGTGCCAAAATTAATATCACCAAAAACAGGGAAAATGGACCTTGTAAGCCTTCTGATGTCAGTCACAGAGGAGATAATGTCATCCACGGAGTACTACAGTCAAAATTGCTCAGCCACAATTAACTCATAAGGAAGCAATTAGACACACTCAAATAGAAAGCCATTCTGCCCACAGCCAGCCTTGCCTCTCCAAAAATGTCATAAACATGAAAGATAATAACACACTAGGGAACTGCTTTTAATTGAAGGAAACGAAAGAGGCATGAAGAATAAATATCATGTATGACCCTTGATTGGATCCTGGGTCAGAGGGAAAATATAAAAGATAATATTGAGACAATTTGAGAAATTTTAATACAGATTGTGTGTTAGAAATAGTTATCTATCACTGGCAGATTTCCTGAGTATGATTATTATATTACGGTTATGTAGGAGAATGTCTTTTTTCTTAGGATATAGTTGCTGAAGCATTTATAGACAAAGTGTCAAGATGTCTGTAACTTACTCTAAAATGGTTTAGCACACACACAAGTAATTGTGCAGTGTATGTGTGTTGCAGGTGAAGAAAAGGAGCGAGACAGGCAGAATGAAAGAGGAAGAAAGGGAGGGAGGAAGGGAGGAAGAAAATATAGAAAATGGTAACAATTGGTGAATCTAGGTTAAGAGTATGTGGTGTACTAATCTTGCAAATTTTCTGTGCTCACAGCTCGGCTTTTATCAGCATACCACTTATGCTTTTAAACACAAAAAATCCTAGTTCATTCTTTCACTTTCCTCATAGGGCCTCCTAGGCTCTCAAACACAAACACAGGTTTTGTGTACTTCCGAAACTGAGGGGATGTACCTTTGGACATTAGATGACCAGGAAGTCATCAAAGGACTTCAGTTCATGCCTTACAGGAAACTTTGACACTTTGAGGAGGTTAAAGTTCCCATTCAACTTGTCATACTGCGCTATTTTAAAGCCTTTAAGTACAATGACCCTTTTTTCCACAAGCAATTTCCCAAAGTCATCTGTGTTTGGAACACACATAGACAGGCAGCTCTAAGTACCCATTAGTCTTCAAACCTGAAATGCTCCCCAAAATGAGTTACAATGAAAAACATGTACTACCTCAAATGAAAAATAGCAAAATACATCAAGAGTTCAAAAGGCAAGAGTTGAACAAGATGATCCCATTTCATGCTACATTAATATGTCACTCCAATTTTATATAAGAATAAGCCTTCACACGTCCCATCTAGAATTCTGAAATATGCAGGTATCCAAGCAAGTAAATCTTTTTATAAATGGGGGGAGGCTGATTATGCATGCAATTTAGGAATGTGCCCAGAGTTTTGAGAAAGAGAGCCAGAAAAAGAAACCTCCTACCCATCTCAATGGCGGAAATGGATGTAAGATATAGGGGAAAGAGAGTCATGGATGAAGATTATCACTCAGCTTATCATAAATGCCCTGGTTCACATCATTGTGTACTATTGTGCTGTATGAGTTATCATTTGTTGTTTGATTATCACATACTAACATTGTTTATCACCCAACAATGGAAAAGAAACTTGCTCACAACTTTGGTCCCCCAAACTTAAGTTTGCCGTAAAGTCCAGTCTTAAAGTAGATTCTCCCACTGCTGGGTTTTAAAAACACAGCTCTCTCTGGAAGAGAAAAAATAGAGAATTTAACTTAAATATCATAGCTGGAAGGACTTGGTTAAATGTGACTCAGTCACATGTTGCCATTCAAGGCAAATCTATAATTTTTTAGATCACCTAGTCATTCACACAGGCATGAAAATCAGTTATTCCTCCATTGATTTCTATTGTTATTGCCTAGAAAACTCAGGATGTGACTTTTCATCATCATCATCATCATCATCATCATCGGCGATACCACCATGGGCCAGCAGCCCTGATATTCTTCCATTTGATACATTTAATGAAACAATGGAACATATTGATGTTTCTTTCCACCATCAATTTTTCTAGCTATTGAATTTCACCCTTTTTCTATCTTCCCGCTTCTTCCAATTGTTAAGGTCATTTTCAATTTCAAGCCTGTTTCTAAGGCATTACCCAACACATCCAACTTGCTGTCAATGGGATATTTAATAAGCAAGCTCATTCCACTATCTGAGGCATTAATGAAATTTCTAAGTACCACAATAGAACTTCTCTCAAAGTGTCTTCTCTCCCTACTTTCAAGTCACAATGACCCATTGACAAATACTCTCAATTGAGCCAGCTGTGTACTTAACAGTAAAATGAGCTAAATCCTATTTTCGCAGTTTCTTGATGAATATGACAACTGGGACTGAATTTTAAAAGCTTCTGAAGGCATAATGAAGGGTTGAAACACATCCATTTGCCCTTATCTGACAAAATAAAGAATAGCAAGGCTATCATATAGTATACCTAATCTTTCAGATTTTTTTTCTGTTATTTCCAAGGTCCTTGAATCTTCAGGTGTTTCCTGAATCACCAATTCTAATATGTTGGAAGCAGTATGAATTTGGAGCCAAACGCGTCTGGGGCTAAATCCTACCTCTGCCACTATGTGGGAATTTGGGGAAAGTAAAAGAAAATAAAAGAAAAACTTTTCTCTTTATTTTCTCCCTAAGCCTCAATGTCCTCATCTGAAAAATAGTTATAATCCTTCTTAGCTTTTAGCATTGTTTCAAGAATTAGCAACATGCCTTTACCTGAGTAGAAATTCAGTAAAAAGCTGGCCCTCTTCCCTTTTTTTCCTCACTTAAAAGGTTGTCTCTACATCATAAAATCTCACTGCAATTAACTAGCGCTTCAGGTGCCTGTATAATCAATGTGTGTGAGAAGTGAAGTATAACAATCTATTCCACTAGATTTCATATGTGTGGATCCTTTCTGATTTCTTACACCCTGGGGTTGGGGGTTAGGGCGGTGTCAGCCAGTAGTTCAGGCATGTCTTGGAGTCAATCAGAGTGAAGCTGTCTAAGCCACTTGTTAATTACGGGCCTCAGGAAATTGTCTTAAATGCACCAAGTTTGTTTTCCCTTTTAAAAGAATAAATTACAATAGCACCTAGTTCATAGTTTTCTTTTAGGAGATTTTTTTAAGGGTTACCCAAGACTTGGAGCACTTAGCATAGTCATTGGCTCACAGTAGCTTTCAGCAAACAATTGCTACATCGTGATAACATAATGCGCTAAAATCTCACCCATAAGTAATAAACCCTTATGTGTCTGCTAAAATTCTTTCCACTTCCCAATTTCTCTCTGATTAACTAGTACGCTTCATGCAAATGTGGACCAGACCTGTTTTATTCAATTTTGAAAATCCTTATCCTAGAACAAACAGTACATGTCACATAGTAAATGCTCAATAAAAAAGTTGTTCAAATGATAAATGAATGAATACCTTCTTAATTTCATGCCAATAAAATTCAGATAAGTTACAAGACATCTGTTTCTTAATCGTACCCACCTGATTAACATGACCACAACCTCTGCCTCCTTAAGTAAGGCTTTCTAATTTTTTAAAGTACATTAGAGTTTGGCATAAAAAGATTTTGAGGCTGCCTTTCTAAATTTCAACAACATTATTTATTTCCCAAAAATTTTTGAATTCTCACACCCAATAAAAGGGTTTATTTTCAAATACAAGCACAAACAATTCTAAAATGATTTTATCATGGCCTTATAAAGCCATGGTTCTCAACTCTCATCCAAATTCTTCAATTGGCAGAGGAGAATGATTGACTTTCCCTGAGGGATCAAAGCTCATAGATGAATTATTCCCTCCCACATGTACCAAATGCCTTTGAAGTGTCATGTTTTATCCCAAGGACAAAATCAGATGCACAAAGATACAGTCGCAAGGCTACTCATCACATTGTTTTTCATAATCATGAAAAATGAGAACAATCTAAGTGAATATAAAAATATAGTACCTACATAAATTATAGTTTATCCTAATTATAAAATTCTGTGAGGCCATTAGAAACTATTTTAACACGATATTAAACATAATATTATTATATATTAAAAACATATTAAACAATATGAAAATATTTTCAAAATATATTGTTAAATGAAAAGCTAGTAATGACTTCTAGTTAATCACCACAAAAATGACAATCAAGTTCATTTTAAATCAAATACCTATTGAGGCAAAGATAACAGGAAATGATACGAAATCGTGGCAGATAGTAAGTAAATGGATGTGTGAAAACTATCTTGTAACCCAAATGAATCTAAAATTTAACCTGGCCCTAGAGAAGCCCTAGAAGTAGAAGATGCATGTTACAAATCCTCAGAAATGCTCAAGGAGTAGAAACACCGCCTAACTCTGAAAGAGAGTACATACAGTTTAGAAAGCAAGATTGACTAAATGTGCTTATTTTTAAAAGGTCACTCCTGAACCCTACCAGCAAGGTGATAGACTTTGACCAATCATGTAGAAGCCTAGGGGTTTATCCTTTGGAGAGGCTGATTCAAATACCCTGGACTTGGAGTTATCAGGAACACATACATAAAGTTAGAGTACCATACTAAAAACTAGATTAAGTGCAATTTTAATCACTGAAACATAAGGTTCCTGACTCCCCTTCCTCACTCACCTCCAAAAATGCTAGATAAAGTCTCAAGTCCTTTCCATCCTGATCTTTGGCTTTACTCAGCATTACTTTCTTTAAAATTCTTTTGCTAGGAAAATTTCAAGTTAAATAAGATCTCCAAGGGACCTACTAAAGAAAATACATATTACAATCACTTAACAAAACTCTTTACAAACAACTTTCATAAACTTTGTCAAGGCCTATAGCTTTGTTGGTGCTGATTCTTCAGAAAGTCTACCTGAAAATACCATACTTGATATTAATTTTTAATTATACATTTAAGCTGCAAAATAGTGATTTTTAGAATTCAAAGTATAATTCACACTTTTCATTTAACCTCATTTGTCTTTTCCCAGTTAGTTTGCATTAAGGTCATTATATTAGGAGAATCTCCCTTAGTGGTTCTCATTCTGGGAATAGTGAGGGAGGATGTACTCGTCCTCTACCCCAACCCTCTTCCCAGTTCCCAGTCAAGGTGTGAATCAGGAATCCAAATAGGTATTTTAAAATTATACATATGCAGCCCTGCCTCCAAAAACACAAAACCCTTCTACAATCTCCTCCTAGAGAATCACCACACATACTTACATGGAGGTAGTGGGCATGTTAACTAGGGTGGAGGAGAAAATAGGGTAAGAACTATGTCACTATACAATATAGACATCGGACCAAATTGAACAATTCTAGCAAATCTGAGTTTCAGACAGCACTGAGGAGATGACTTCTAAGGTCCTTTTCCATTTGATAATTTCTATTTTATACTGTAATTCTTTAGTGGAAATAGTGCCTGTTCTCTTCTACAAAAATTGGCACATGACCCAGGTGGGGCCAATCATTGCTCCGGTCCAGAGCACATGTATAGGACCCAGCCAATCAGAGTGTTTCCCTGGCATTTTTCAAAATGAGGCAAGTATGAAAGTGCCTTTTCCAATTTGGTCACAAAACTATAAGTACATAAGAGCAAAGCATCCAGAGAAAACATGCCCATCACTCGAGGGGTAAGTCAAGCTAAGAAAATAAAGCTCATCCACCGAGAAAAAATGGAGATTAAGGGGGAAAAGAGAGAATCCTAAAGGTATTTAGGTCTCTAATGACAGGCAAACCTAAGAAATCTCCCTTTGCCTTAAAGTAGTTTTGAATTGGATTTTGTTGGATTTTGCTATTTCCAACAAGAGAGTCTTCCTAATACCAATTCTATTCTAACTTGTAAACTCTGGAAGGGTAAAAACCAGGCTTGAAAAGACATTATATATGAAATATACCATCTGAATAGTGGTGGTGGTAGTGGCAATGATGAAGATGATAATAAGTAAATTCTATTTCATTCTTACTACATTCCAGCCACTGCTTTGGCATCATCATGGTACCATGACATAGGTGCTGTAATAGTATCTCCATTATATAGTTAAGTAAACTGAGGCACATGGACAACTTGCCCAAGATGGTGTGGCTAGTCACACAACCAGGATTTGAACCTAAGTACTCACTTCAGAGCCCACACTCTAAACTACCACGACATTCTTCCTCATCATGACAAGTCATTTAGCTTGATCCTCTAAATCAAAGCACAGAAACAAAAATTGCTCTCAACTTTGAGAATGTTTGACCTTCTGAACATTCCAGTTGCTTTCACATTTCACATCCTAGTGAAAAGAGCCCCACTTCACAACCAGGATTTACATGTGAGTTTCTTGGAAAATACCCTGGGGAAACAGCTCCATCTGTAAGTAAATGGAACATGATGAATGATGACAGTCTAATGGGAAGTGCCTTACAGAGGCTGAAAACCCTGAACTATTTCTGCTTGACTTGTGGTTTGACCTAAAGAAAATCACACCACCCTTGACCTCTCTGGGCTCGGTTTCTTTCTGATTTAATACATGGTAATTTTCAATGTTCTCTCACAATAGGTGGAGAGCATTCTTAAAGCAATGTATAAAATGCTTCATGTTTCTTAGATGATATTAACTATAGAAGTTTAAGAGGTTGTAATCTCACTACAATAATAATACCTCAAATCTATTGAGTGCTTTCCACATGTCAGCACTCTGAAAACTGTATGCATCAGCTTAAGGCTCACAGCAACCTTATATTGCAAATGCTAGTATTATTTTCCTTCAACAGACAATGAACAATATTTGGGTAATTAAATTACCTGCAGACATTTACATAGTATGATGGTTAATTTTATGGGTCAATTTGGCTAGGCTATGGTGCTGAGACATTTGCTTAAACACCAGAATAGATCTTGATATGAAGGTATTTTTTAGAGGGTTTTAACGTTTATATCAGTAAGCTATGAGTAAAGCAGATGACCTTCCATAATGTGGGTGGGCCTCACCCAATCAGTTGAAAGCTTCAAGAGAAAAAAAGACTGAGACTACCTGAGGAAGAAGCAATTATGTTTCCAAATTGTCTTCAAACTTGAGCTACAATATCATCTTTTTCCTGGGCCTATGGCCTTCTGGTCTGCCTTGCAGAATTCAGACTTGCCAATCCCCACAATCACACAAACCAATTCCTCAAACGAGAGAGACAGAGAGATGTTTATGTACATATACATCCTATTAATTCTGTTTCTCTAAAGAACTCTGACTAGTACACATATTAACTGGTAAAGTTTGCATCTGAAATGAGACAAACTTATTCCAAACTCACCCCAAGCTTTTTTTAACTCATAAAATGTTCTTTAGCCATTCCCATTTTTTTTTACAGAGGCGTAACTCTGATATCTCTGAAAACCAGCAGTACCATTAGACCAAAATGAAAAAAATGAGAGGCATTCTGTCATTTTCTTCTAGGAACCTATTTATCTTGCTGCAGTCTAGATTTAATTAAGCCCAATCAAATGTCTTTAGAAAGAAATCAAAGAAAAAGGCAATGCTTCCAAACTCATTTTTAAGGCCAATACTACCTTAATAACAAAGTCAGACGAGGACAGCACAAAGAAATAAAAATACAGGCAATATTCCTAACAAAAACACATGTAAAAATCCTCAACAAAATACTAGCCAACTGAATTCAACAACACATTAAAAGAATCATTCAACATGATCAAGTGGAATTAATCCCAGAGTTAAAAGGATGCATCATCATACACAAATCTATAAATTTGATACACCACATTAACAGAATAAAGGACAAAAGCCATATGAATGGCTCAGTTAATGTAGAAAAATAATTTGACAAAAATTCAACATCCTTTTATGATAAAAATTCTCAGCAAATTAAGTATAGAAGGAATGTACCTCAACACACTAAAGGCCATGGATGACATAGCCACAGCTAATGTTACACTCGACAGTAAAAAATTGAAAGTTTTTTTCTCCGAGCTCAGGAACTACACAAAGATGTCCACTTTTACCACTTCTATTTAGTATAGCGTTGGAAGTCCTAGCCAGAGCAAAAGCAAGAGAAAAAAAATAAAAGCCATCCTCCAAATTGGAAATGAAGAGTTAAATTGCCCCTATTTCCAGATGACATAATCTTATATATAAATAACCCTAAAGACTCCATCAAAAAACTGTTAGAACTCAATAAATGAATTCAGTAAAGGTGTAAGATATAAAATCAACATACAAAAGTCAGTAGAGTTTCTGAACAGTAACAATAAACTACCCAAAACAGAAATCAAGAAAGCAATCCCATTTACAATAGCTACAAAAATTACTTATAAATAAATTTAACCAAGGAGATAAAAGATCTGCCGTGCACCGAACACTATAAAAGATTGATGAAAGAAATTGAAGAGGACACACAAAAAATGGAAAGCTATCCCACGTGCATGGATTAGAATAATTAATATTGTTAAAATGTTCAAAATACCCAAGGCAATCTATAGCTTCAATGTAACTCCTCTATCAAAATTCCAAAGACGTTTTTTACATAAATGAAAAAAATCCTGAAATTTATATGGAACCACAAAATACCCCAAATAGCCAAGCCCATCTTGAGCATAAAGAAGAAAGCTGAAGAAAAATGAAGCTAGACTCCTATTTCTCACCATGTACAAAAATCAACTCAAAAAATGCTTTATGACATTGGTCAGGGCAAGGTTTTTTTGTGTAAGGCACTAAAAGCACAGGCAACAAAAGCAAAAATAGGCAAATGGGATTGCAACATGCTAAAAAGTTTCCACACAGTCAAGGAAACAATCAGTAAAGTGAAGAAACAAATTATGAAATGGAAGAAAATATTTGTGAACCATATATCTGATAATGGATTTATATCATATATATGAAACATATGTAATACATATGAAATATACATATATATATATATATATGGAACTCAACTCAATAATGGAAAACAAATAACCTGTTTAAAATTTGGACAGTAGATCTGAATAGAAATTTCTGAAGAGAAGACACACAATTGACCAACAGGTCTATGAATAAAAGATAGTGATCAAAATCACTAATTATCAGAAAAATGCAACTTAAAACTGCAATAAGCTATCACCTCACACCTGTTAGAAAGACTATGATCAGAAAGAGGAGAGAGATCAAGTGTTGGCGAGGTTGTGGAGAAAAGGGAACACTTGACGACTGTTGGTATTCACAACATTAGTACATCATTAGTGTATTAGTAAATTAGTAGAGCGATTATGAAAAACAGCATGGAAGTTCCTCAAAAAATTGAAAATAGAACTACCATACAATCCAGTAATCTCACTATTGGGTATATATCCAGAGGAAGTTAAATCTGTACGTGGAAGAGATATCTGCACTCCCACGTTCATTATAGCAGTATTCACAATAGGCAAGATATAGAATCAACCTAAGTGTCCATCGATGGATGAATGGATAAAGAAAATGTGGTACCATATGTGTGTGTGCATATATATGTGCATATATAAGGAAATGTGATATATATTATATCACATTTTATATATGTGATATATATACATATCACATATATATGTGATTATATGTGATATATATAATATATATGTGACATATATTTTATATATATATATATATAATATATATATATTTTCCTGGCCCCCAACCCTATGTGCTTTGTCATCATTCACTATTAAATTTTACTATCTGTAGCTATGAAAGCTTTGTAGCTTTCCATACCCTCTTCCCTATGTAGACAATTAAGAATACTGCCCTAGCATTTCAAGGCTACTTTAGAATTTAATTGTGGACATATACCTCTTGTGCTGAGCAAATGAGCAGGTCTAGTAGGAAGTAGGGTAGCAAAGTGGAAAGAGTAAACTTTGAAATTAGAAAGATTGGTGTTCACATTCTAACTCTACCACAGACTCACTTTATAACCCTGAACAAACTGCTGTAAATCTCTGAACCTCACTTTTCCTACGTGTAAAATGGAGATAACTGTGCCTATCTTGAAGTATCAAGATACTTGATGCTTGAAGTCAAGGAACCTACAAAATAAAAGCACACAGAAGATACTCAAGAAGTCAGAGCTTTTATCATTAGCAGCACTACCCACTTAAAATTTAAAGCTTTACATCTATTTACTAAGCTCACTTATAATCAGACTGTTGTTGTTTCACCATATTTCATTGACATTGTTGTGATATGGGGTGAAGGCTAAGTCCCCTATTATTCCATCTTACATCTGACTTGGCAGCACGTCACATAGAGTACTTTAAAAAACAAACAAACAAGCAAACAAACAAAAAAACCCTGAGCTCCCTTTAGAGACCAAAATAAAAGAAGGTTAAGGGTAGAATCAGAAAATCAATTTAGTTTCCATCCAGGCAGGCGCTTTGCTATAATGTTTCTTGAACAACATAATGGCTCTGTGGAGCTGATGACAGAGGGTAACGGAAGAAACAGCCCAGTTTTGGTGCAAATTTTTCTGTCACAGCTAAGCTGGCATCCAAAGGATAACATCCTTTGCACTAGAAGCAACACTTGCAGAGAAGTTTTGGCAATTGGAAAAACTGAGATATGCTCTGAGCTCCTATGTGCCAAGCTCTGGGTTATATATCCTGCCTGCTGTCTATACTTTAATTCTGTAAATAAAGTTTATTTTCTCTTTTTCACTGTAAAATTAATTCATGCTTCTTATAAATGGCCAGAAAAATCACAAGTTGACAGAAGAAATAAACATTATTTTTAGCCTCAGGAATATAAAATGACTGTTGTCAACATCTTAATATTTTTTCTAGTCTTTAATCTACTAATTTGAGCATTGGCGAAACCCTGATTATATATCACATTATATATTCAATCCTGTAATATCCTCAACCAGAGGCTGGCAATATATATCACATTATATATTCAATCCTGTAATACCCTCAACCAGAGGTTGGCAAACTATGGCCTGCAAGCCAAATCTGGAACACTGCCTCTTCTGATAAATCAAAATGTATTGGGAAACAGTTGTGCTCATTCAATTACGTATTGTCTATGGTCGCTTTCACACGGCAGTGGCAGAGCTGAGTAACTGACTTGGAGATCCATGTAAGAGACTGTGTGGTTCACAAAGCCTAAAAGAGTTACCATCAAGCCCTTTACAGAAAAAGTTTTCCAACCCCTGCCCTAAGCAAATGGCAACTGAACATACTGACTGCAGGTGCAGGATTCCCACCTTCACCCCATTCCCTATGTGCCTAAATCCTAACCACCTTTCAAGGCCCGATACAATCATCATTGTGTCAAGGAAGCTTCCCTTTACATTCCCAAATGGAAGCCAACTCTTCCTCTTCTAAACTCCCACAGATCTCCATCCCTATTCTCCTTAACGCTTTCTCCATTTTCTTACATTTTTAAAATATATGAATTTGTGTAGCTATATGAATTTGTATTCATATAGCTTTTCTCACCTTTTAGGCTGCCTTTATTGCACATCACTGAACTCAGTGTCTAGCACTGGGACACATAACTCAGCATATATTTGCTGAAAAAAGATAAGATATTTTAATATATATTAACATATGGTTCCCACCGTCAAAGAATGTACAGCCTAGTCCAGAGAAATAGCACCCACCCCCATTTTAAAAATTAAGTATGGCTTCCATTCAAGAATTGCTAAGAGAAGGAAGCTGTGGATTGGACTGGTACAATCAGGAAAGGCTTCTTGAAAGAGTAGGGAATGCAAAGCCGTTAATGGGGGATTTTGATGTGTGCAGAGAACGAATAGGTGGAAGGCAGTGATAAAGACAGGGGAGAAAAAAGTGTGCAGCTTTGTCTAACACGGTGAAGAATAATCTCAACAGAATAGAGGGTGAGCTCAGGTAAGCGAGGGAAACAGTGCAGAAAGACTGAGTATGGCCACAAAAATGTAGGACCTTGACAAACAACAATATAATCACTAAAATGGAACCTGGGCTGAGTTCCCAAAACAGCAATGACCGATCAGCATATGCCTTAGTTGACAAGCCTGTTTAGAATTCTATGGCGGAATATTATCAGTTGGCTTCTGCAACACCCTATGTCTTAATGAATGCCATTTGTAAAATATTTGAATGAGGCTGGTCCCCAGCTCAGAAATACATAGGAAGGTGAATACAAACACACTCGCCCTGTGGTCTCCCACAGGACTTTTTACATAATCTTCTCCATAGCACAAATCAAGCACTGCTGTAATTGTCTCTGTTTACATGTTCACATTCCCCGCTAGGCATGAACTTCTCCAGGGTACCCTAGTCATGGATTGTTTAATTGTAAGAGAAAAAAGTCCATTCGAGTTAGCTTAAGTGAAGAGAAACTCTTTTTAGGTTGCAGCAGTACCCTATAGACCACACCGGGGTGGAATACAGCCCATACTCACCAGACTGAGAAATCTTCGGTCTCTCTTCCTGGAGCTTTCTGCATTTTCATATCTGCCAAGCTCTGTACCTCTCCTCTCCCATCCCTCTGAAACTCAGCTTCCTTCCCAAGCAATGCCATAGTTCTGGGTCCTACAATTCACATTTTCTCAAATTCAACCTCCCTATGTCTTATAAGTTGCTTAACTTCTAGTGACATATGATGCATTTGAGAAAAATGAGTTGCGACTATGAGTTGACTCAGGTAGAAAAGCATAGCACTCAGACTTGAGAATGTGTCTCTGTATTAGAGGAAAATCTGGTAAGTCATAGTGGGACTTTTTTTAAGCGATGCTCTATCACCAGTGCTATCAATGGTACAGAGGATTATGCAGTAGAGAAAAAGTGATTCCAAACAGCTGGACTTTGAACATGAAATCTTAAAAAGACCTTAATAATTCATTTTACTTATATTGTCCTACTGATAAGAAATAGGAAAATGCAAAAGCATGATATATGAGAGAAAAGTAACAACCAAAATAGCCTAAAAGAGGTCTTTCAGTAAGCATAGAATAAAAATTCCAAAAGACGGAAAGGTATCACGTTATAGTGGAAGTGGCAGATTTTATATTTCTGAGTGATGGACTTACAAGTGACAGTGTCTTTTATTGAATGAAGTATCATATTTGCTGCTTCCCTATAATTCCAGGTTACAGAAGACTTTGGGTTGCCAGGTCTTCAAGCTACATCTCTAAATGACATTGAAGTGCAGGCTCAATTCTGTCTGAGTGTGTCAATCACTATGTTTTAGTTTCACATTCTCAGGAAAGAGAGCATATGTGTTTCCACTTCAGTCAGATGTCTACAGCAACTGAATAATCTAGATAGAAGGTGAATAGGGTTCCAACATGGTGTAGGGGCTTTGGTATAAAAAGTTAAGATCATGACTCTTTCTAGTATCCATCTCCACAGCGCAATTCCATATAGAACTCAGTACTTGTCAAATGAATTTTATTGCAATAAGCTCTGCAGCACGTGGAGTGTCAAGCTGGTATCTAAAAGTAAGAGTACAAACAATTGCAAAGTAGGGGTGGCTTTTGAGGAGTACAGAAGAGTCTGCTCTCAGCTTAAAGTATATTGTTTTCATAACTAAAGGCAGGGAGTTATAACCATGTCTACTACAATCACAGAAGACGTTCAACGTTTGAAGAAAAAATTCCCTTAGCATTTCCTATGTTATACACACCTATCTAGTGGCTTTATGGATTCTCAGCAAATAAGAATATATCAAAATCATCTGTGGAGCTTGTTAAAAATAGTTGCAGAGAGCCAATCCCCAAGTGAATTAATCACTGAAAGTGGGGTCAGAGAAACTATTTTTAAAGCTCCTTAGCTATTTCTGATGTGCTCTCCTGTTTAGTAACCAATGAGTTAAGATGTATGCATACAAATATAATTTATTTTGGCAAGGTAAGAAGTCTCTGTGGCATTCAAACCAAACTTTAAGTGATTGCACACAGAGACTGAAGCTTCTGGGTAAGTAGTTCATTTGTTCTGACACTGAAGTCAGCAGCATAGATTAGAAGAGGAAAACTTGGCTGGGCGTGGTGGCCCATGCCTGTATTCCCAGCACTTTGGGAGGCCGAGGTGGGCAGATCACCTGAGGTCAGGAATTCAAGACCAGCCTGACCAACATGGAGAAACCCTGTCTCTACTAAAAATACAAAATTAGCTGAGCATGGTGGTGCATGCCTGTAATCCCAGCTACTTGGGAGGCTGAGGCAGGAGAATCGCTTGAACCTGGGAGGCAGAGGTTGCAGTGAGCATAGATCAAGCCACTGCACTCCAGCCTGGGCAACAAGAGTGAAACTCTGTCTCAAAAAAAAAAACAGGAAAACTTAGGAAGACAAAGTAGAGACACAGTCGGTAGGCCAAAAGAAGAGGAAAGAACTGAATCTGGAATCTGGACCAGAAGCAAATATGGCATACCACAATGACCTATGTGATGGAGAATTTACATACCAGAACCAGGCTCTTCTTTTACTGGTGTTATTATTAATATTATTATAATTTTTTTTATTATTAGGTAAATTGCTAGTGTCTTTTTTTATAAGTTATCTTTTAACAGACCATCTGTAGGTTGTTTCGCAGACTCAGTTCTCAACTTACTTTTTGGATTTGCTTTTTTTTTGAGACAAAGTCTCACTCTGTTGCCCAGGCTGGAGTGCAGTGGCACGACTTTGGTTCACTGCAACCTCCGTCTCCTGGACTCAAGCTATTCTTGTGCCTCAGCCTCCCACGTAGCTGGGATTACAGTCGCATACCACCATGTCAGGCTGATTTTTGTATTTTTGGTAAAGACAGGGTTTCACCATGTTGGCCAGGCTGGTCTTGAACTCCTGACCTCAAGTGATCCGCTCAGCTGCCCACCTCAGCCTCCCAAAGAGCTGGGATTACAGGCATGAGCCACCACATCTGGCCATTTTTGGTTTTATTTAATAGAGCCATGAGTTTAAATAATCACTCTGCCAGATGTAATCTGTTGTTTCTCCATAAACATTCCTTCCTCTACGCCATAGAGGCTGAAAATTTGGAAACTACATTACTCAGAATTGCTTGCAAGTAGAGTTGTAGGAAGTTTCTGCCAATAAGGGATCCTCCTGTGAAAATCGGAACGAGGAAGAGAAGATGGAGTCAGTCCCTTCCGACAGTAGATGCAGACAATCCTGAGGGTGTCAGATGTGTATTTTGCTGGAGGCTTCCAGGGGTCCTCCTGAGGATCACCCACTTACCTGCAATTTTTGTACTTTAGGATTCCTGAAAGCCTGGAATGGCCTCGCTGACTTTTGCTCCCTGGCATTTTTTTTTTTTTTTTTTTTTTTTTTTTTTTTTTTTGACTGAGTCTCGCTCTGCCACCCAGGCTGGAGTCCGGTGGCGGCGATCTCGGCTCACTGCAAGCTCCGCCTCCCGGGTTCACACCATTCTCCCGCCTCAGCCTCTGGAGTAGCTGGGACTATAGGCGCCCACCACCAAGCCGGCTAATTTTTTGTATTTTTAGTAGAGATGGGGTTTCACCGTGTTAGCCAGGATGGTCTCGATCTCCTGACCTCGTGATCCCCCCGCCTCGGCCTCCCAAAGTGCTGGGATTACAGGCATGAGCCACCGTGCCCGGCCTCTAGCATTTTTTTTTTTTTTAAAGAAATAGGGTCTCACTATGTTGCCCAGGCTGGACTCCAATTCCTGGGTCCAATGATCCTACTCCCTCAGCCTTCCAAGTTGCTGGGATACAACTTGTGCACCCAAGTTGCTGGGATACAACTTGGGCTACAGGTGTGCACCACTGCACCCAGCTCTCTAGTCTTTTTAGTGGTAGTGTAACCTTCTAATTCCCTTTAGTAAATAGTTTTCTATTCAAAATACTTAATGTGGCTTCTGTTGTCCTGACTGGATTCTGACTGTCACATCCTTTCAAATAGTGGTTTTTAAACTTCAGTGTACATAAAAGTAACTTGGAGGGCTACAAAAAATTCAGATTCAGTAGTCCTGGAATAAGCCCAGAAAGCTGTGTTTTCATCAAGAATTCCAGGGGCCTGTGTCTACCTTGAGAGACACTGCTTTAATATACAGGTGAGGACCCCTGAGCCCCATGGACTCAACCACTCTTATTGAAGAATATTTGATGACCAGATCAATCATTCCAGCCAAGCAGCACCCTTTGCTACCTAGTTTATTCCACATAGGAAGGGTGCTGCTTGCCTGGAATGATTGATCTGGGCATCAAACAAACCAAATTTATTCCTATATGGAAGTGCATTCATTATAGTCTTAAAATTGCTGACTCAGCTGGGCGCGGTGGCTCATGCCTGTAATCCCAGGACTTTGGGAGGCCAAGGCGGGTGGATCACTTGAGGTCAGGAGTTTGAGACCAGCCTGGCCAACATAGCAAAACCCCATCTCTATAAAAATACAAAAATTAGACGGCCGTGCTGGCAGGCGCCTATAATCCCAGCTACTCAGGAGGTTGAGGCAGGAGAATCTCCTGAACCCAGGAGACGGAGGTTGCAGTCAGCCGAGATCATACTACTGTACTCCAACTTGGGCAACAAGAGCGAAACTCTGTCTCAAAAAAAAAAAAAAAATGCTCACTCACCAGAAACAGAAAATCTCTGGGAAATCACTTATCTATGAGGTGCACTAGAGTTTAAAGAGGAAGAGGACAGGATTGGACCCAGGGCCAAGTCCTGGCTCTGCCATTTACTGATACATGACATTAAGCAGATCGCTTCACCCATCTGAGCTTCAAATTACTTATCTGTAAATGCCTCCCTCAGAGAGCTGATCCTCACAGACATAATGGTATTAATGTCTACCTTTCCAATTAACACCCTGAAGTCCATAAAGGCAGGAACTATATCTGATATATTCATTGTTTTCTCATCACTCACCCTGTGTTCAACACATAATTATTGAGCACCCAATACATGACAGGCTGTCTCTACACTAGATCTAAACAAGGACAAATGTGCTTAACTTAACATTTAGAAGAGTCAATGCCCACAACATTTTGTTCAGCAGCAGCAACAGCTAAGATAAGTGTCTTGCTTGTAAATGGCAGGTATATTAGCAAATCGTAAAGGGCAAACAAGAGCAGGTTAAAAGTAATACTTCATACAATAATAGTGGCAGCACTAGCAAAGGAGCGGAAGTGAATGATGGGAAAGAAGTAGTTAAATCCTTACATTTGAGCTGACCTACCTGCTCAGCAGAAGCTGTGCAGGGAACACAGTCCTTGGAGCAAGAGTGGCAGAAAGTGATCTCACTGCCACTCAATGGTAGGGAGACTTTCTGATTTGGAGTTTTCATTTTTCATTTTCAATCTTGTGAAATGCTTCCCAGGTCAGACTTCTAGCACCTGTGTGGTAAAACCCTGGATACCCATTAACTTCCCAGCATGAAACACAGCAGCTGTTTACAGCCCTTCTGGTCCCCAGGGTGAATGGTTGTTGTACTTGGTAACAGGCGTCTGATCTCACCTGAGCTCCATAGATGCAGGAGGACAGAAGACACCTTCACATCTCCCTGCATGTGTGAGCAGACACAAGGGAGATGGCAGAGAGCTTCACTCTGTACCTTCATACATTTAAAGTGACCAGACTGGACCTTGGGAAATAGTTGAGCATAATTCATCTCTGACAACCCAGACATCCCTATGCTCATTCTCATACAATCAATTGCAATATGTTTCCCCAGCACACAAATACCCAGCATGATCTTATTCCTGACTCACAGAGTTCTACATTTTCTGTTGAGTTACTTATCAATCTTTTCAGTTTCATGAATATACAATATACATTGAATACTAAATTCCAGGGAACTGTTGAGCACCTTGCATGCATTATCCTATTAACTCTTCACCAGAATATTATGAGGTAGATAGAGATGGAAACCTAACATGCACAGAAAGAAAGAAAACTGCAGCCTTTGCTCTGTTGGACTTCAGAGCACATGCTCGTCACCACTCTACTATACTACCTGCTCATATGTATCTGTGAAAAGGAAAATGTTACATTGAGGCAGAGCAGCTGTTCGCAAACATTTTCTGTAAAGATTCAGATAGTAAATATTTTAGACTTTGCTCACCATAAGGTCTATGCGCTGACTACCCAGCTCTGCTGTTGTGGAGTGAAAGCAGCCACAGGCGATAGGTAAACAAGTGGGTATGACTGTGTTCCAATAAAACTTTATTTACAAAAAGAGGCAGTGGGATAAATTTAGCCTGTGGATTATAGTTGCCAGTCATTGAGTTACAGGAATGTCAAGCCAAAGAAATAAAGCCTATCAGACTCAGCATAGAGGTGAACTTGCCTCAGTTGTTTCTGTGGGAAAACCCCTAGAGGAGACCGTGTCTGCAACTCTTCTCTAGCCACTGTCTACCCAACCCCTCTCCTACTCTCCTGAGCAGGGCATGACTGAAATGAGCCTCCTGAAGTTTCTGTGCATCTATCATTGAGAAAAAGAGGGAATACAGATGCATCAGTTTCTCTCACTTTCAGGCCTCTGTGTCATAACACAGTGCCCCACACACTGCCATTCATTACTCTTCTTGTGCAATGCTCTCTGTGCTTTTCACCTTGTGAACCCAAGCCAGGCTACCCTTCTCCTCCCTGTATCCCTCCTCTCTGTATCACTTGGAGGAAGGCTAGTGACACTATCAATATAAAACAAGACAGGAAGAACAACTGAAACATTAAAACATGGTCTACTGGTAAAAGTAATAATATTTAGTAAATGTGTATATATACCATTTACCACTTATGCATAATGACCATGAAGCACAATAACAATTATGAATATTGATTAGGAGATAAGAACTTTGTCATAAGTTGTATTTGATTACAACAATGAGCTGTTTTCAGGCTCTCAGCTTTCACAGTTTGTTGCACATGAAACATGAGTGTGTCTGCTCACAATTAAGTATCATGATACAGAGCATCAGTTGCCATCTCTAGCTTTTTCTTGTGTATTTTAGATAATCCATATAATATCTACATTAATAAAATAGCAAATCTTCTGGCTATAAGGCAACACATTGTATTATGAGTGGAACACTAGACTTGGAGTTAGAATATTAATTGCAAACTATATCAATGTGTCGGGCACAGTACTAAGCAGATTGTGTTAATTATCTCTTATTAACATCAGCAACCTCATGATATAAGTGCTATTCTTATCTCCATATTGCTTATGAAGAAACTGAGGCTTGCCTTAAGAATAAGTTTTTTTTCTCTGTTGCTTCTGTGACAGTGCAGAGTTTTGTTGTCACCTCTCCACAAGAAAAATTATTATACCTTCAGGAACCAACAAACAATTTTTAAAATTTCCATGCCTTGGATTCTAAGATGAGGGCTGTACATAAACCACATAGGGCTTCCTCTGTGAACATCAAATCACCTCTAATTCTGATGTCAACCAAGTATGAGAAAGCTGAATGATCAGAGTGGGTCAGCATGCTAAACACTAACATTTTCTTTCAAGGCCATGGGAACAAGAAAGAAAGCAGTCAGAGGCAAAGGATTAGATGCACACATGGCAAGGTGAGTAGATCTTAAAAGCAGCATGTTAATTTAAAAAAAAAACAAGAAGGCTGAAATATTTGACATCATACTGTTTGCATAATTTAAAAGTACATGCACATAAAACAGCAATGCACATTTTGTAAGACATACACATAATACAAAGAAGGAATTAAACAAGAATGACTGCTATAGTGAAGGGAGGGGAATGGGAGGAGGGAATAGAGACAAACACAAATAAATAAATAAATAAAACAGCAGAGGCCTTGCCAGGAATGATGAGAATCATGTACCGAGAACTGAGAAGTGTCATAATCCAATCCAGTGAAACTAAGGTCCAAGAAAGAAAATAGGAAAAAAGAAGAAGAAATACTCTCTGTCCAAAGGATGACCAAACAATAAAATGATGATGATGAAGGGACCCATGCAAAAAAGGTAGGGACAGATCTAGTCTGAATCAGCTGCATTCCCAAAACAATACAATCTAGACTTCTAGAAAATAAAGGAAGTCAGTAATGTAGCCTTGATAAAACAAAGGCACAGCCATCGGCAATGCAAAATTACTCTTATTGAGCAATGATCCTGGCCCAGCAATATTTTCTCAGGGATAAACCGACAGCTCAGTAATAGATTGAAAAGACATAGCCATTAATATATCCACTGTACTAATCCATTTCTTAAATTAACATTGTATAAAATTAAATGTCACACAAACAAGATATACTTGTTCATTAAATATAGCTGAAGAGAAGGAAAGGGTAGTGATCTCTGAAGCTAAATGAGTGTCCTTAATTAGGCCAGACATATTGAGCATCTTTGTGGCATTGGATAATGCAAATGGGAGTAAATTTGTGTCATGTCCCAGTCAGATATGAAAAAAAAAGGTTAGATCATGGCATAAGAGGAGTCTTTGCTTCCTCTCAATTTTCCAAACATCACATGTTTGATCATCTCTAGATGAGCCACAAGCTGTATTAAAAGCCAAAGACGACTTAATGTAGAAGGGAGAGAGAGAGAGAAAGGGAGAGGGAATTTTGAGGGAATTTGTCTATTTTAAAATGTATGTGTGACAGCCTACTCTCAAAGTGAAGAACCCTACTATTGCTGTTACCACCTACAACTCACCACTGGGAATATCAATGTGACAACAACTGTTTCATAAGAACTGCTCAAATACACAAGAGATACACCTACATCTGATGGACTCCCTGCATGAAAATTCTGAACAGGTGTTAATATTGACAATTGCGAGAATGACGCTGGATTTCTAGAAACTAAAACCCAAATACCTATAATATCTATTATTCCAGTAACTGGTGCAAGACTTGATTTCTGATCACCATCATCTGTTCTATCCATGAGACCAAGGCAAAGAGCAGTGTGTCAGCATGGTGTGGCACAGGGGTAAATAATACCACTTTAACGAAAGACAAACCTAGAGTTGAATTCTAACTTTGCCACTTTACTTATGGTGTGATCTTGGGCAAATTTTATCTTCTCTAACCCTTGATTCCTTTATGTGAAAAGTGGGAGAAACAATAGGATTGCTTAGAGCATACATACAAACATTTAGCACAGATTGTTAGACACAGTTAAGTACCTAGTAAATATTAGTTATTACTAAAATTAACCTGCAAGTAGACCTTAGAGGAATCAGCCGAATATCTCACCTATTGATAATTTACTGCACACCACGCACAGTGCTAGGCACTGAAAATACAAAGGTGGGCACACCACAGATCCTATCTTTAAGTTTCTTAGCTCTTTGCATTACTGCTACTAACACCAACCAGTAACTCTATTAAATTCTAAATTCTCACTAGTAAGAAATCAATGTGCTTAAAAGAAAAGACTTTTGTTTTCTGTTCCAGACTCCACAGTACCAATTTGCTAGTGAAGAAAGCATAAGTTTGAAAATGAGAAAAGCAGAAAGCAATCAAAAATAAAGGGGGCACAATTATTTTAAGAAAGCAAGAATTTGTAACTCTCAAGTTATCACTGACTGAGTGCTTACTGTATGCCAGGCATCAACTTTGCACTGAATCTTCCTTTTCACCCTGTAACGTGGGTATTGCATGATCCATGTTTCTGAGAAAAGTAGGACAATTGAGACTTTTGGCATTTGAGAATATGCCCAAAGACATATAGGAAATACCTGGTGGAACAAGGATTTAAACCTCTGATTCCAGAGATAGAACAGGGATTTAAACCCCTGATTCCAGAGGCATGCTCCCTTCTTTATACAGTAAGATACTGTAGGATATTTATAATTTTGGAGCTGGCAGGAAGTTAGATATTATCTAATCCAAACTCCTCATGATATAGGAGTAAACAGACCAAGAAATGCAAAGTGACATGCCCAGTATCACCCAACTATTCAATCCCAGGACGAGTATTCAAACCTGGCCTCCCTGATTTCCAGTCAGGGCTCTTTTGTTATGCCACCATTGGGTCCCAGTCCTTAATCAAGTCTAAGGAAGCATGGTAAATAGGCCTGTAGGATGAGAACAGATATTCAACTCAAGTTTCCACTCACAAGAGATTCTCTGTATTACCAAAACACAAGCTTTGCATGGAACTGAACAATCGCACTTCCATGCCCCAGATGAAGTGAATGAAAGAAAGAAAAGGCAGGGCTGATATGCCTTCTCAGAATAGATCATCATGTCAGCCCTCATTATCTTACAGTACTCATTTATTCATGTGCTGTTTCTACACTTAGTACCCTTCAAAAGGCATTTGATGGAAAGATGGGTTATAGGATCCCTGATGCCCTGTGCTCTTCCTTGCCAGCCACAGTAGCGGACACCAGGGTAACAAACGCAAATGCTTTTATGAGACAGGCAGGTGACACAAATGAGTGATGTGGACTGGGTGCAAGGCAGTAAAATATGGTGAGAGCTTTGCCATTTTGGAGTGTGTGTGTTTCATATCCCATAAAGAGATAAGCTGTTATCCAGTTGTGTGTTTCATATCATGTAAAGAGATAAACTGTTATTCAGTTCTTGCCCACTATTCCCATGGGGACACACAGCCTATGTTGCTGAATTTTCCAGTATTTAAAGAAACCATGTAAACATGTAATTTTATGTAAAATTTTTCCAAATTTTCAAACATATTGTCAGGCTAAATCTGGCTTGTAGGTTACCAACTTTTGACTCTGGTGTATGGATTCTGAGCTTTCATACCTTCCAAAAGTGAGACTTTCTTGCTCTTCCCAGGCAACATGTTTTCCTATGGATTTTTTTGAATATTTGTATATGTATTTCTATATGTCTCTCCTGTTAGATATAATCTCCTTGAAAATAGAGTTATTTTTTTTTTAATTTCAAGTTTCTGGTACATAGTTGGTGAAGAGAATTTAAAGAGAAAAAAAAAGATAATCTTCCCTGAAAGAGGAAGCTATCTGTGTTCATTAAACCAGTCAACAAATATTTCTTGAATACTTTTCATCATAGCCAGAAATTGTGCTAGCTGCTTAGGACTGTGACTGTAAAAAATGATGATACATTCTGAAATTCCCCAGATCTTTTAAGGCTGGGAGAGGTTTTCTAGCCTGTACAGCACTTACTTGTACATCTTCTATTATTTAGCAGTTTTTCAGTATTCACAGCTTTGGGAAAAAAATTACTGGTTTACCTGTGTTTGTTAAAGATACATATATTAATCAGCACTCTCAGTTCATAGCAGCAGCAGAATACTCAAACTACTAAGAAGGAAGTAAGAGAGAGAGGAGGAGGAGAAGGAGAGAAAAAGAAGAGAAGAAAGAAAGAAAAGAAAAGGAAGGAAGGGAAGGGAAGGGGAAAGGAAAAGAAAGGAAAGGAAGAGAGAGGGAAGGAAGGAGGGAAGGAGAGAGAGAAAGAAAGAGAGAAAGAGAAAGAAAGAGAGAGAGAGAAAGAAAAGAAAGAAAGAGAAAGAAAGAAGAAAGAAAGAAAGGAAGGAAGAAAAGGGAGGAAGGGAGGGAGGGAATCAAAGAAAATGTTTGTTCATATAACCAAAAGATGTGGGGCTAGAACTTGTGGTTTCAAGCACAGCAGGACTCATAGACTCAAGTACAGTACATCATCAGGGATCAATTCTTAGGCTTTAGCCATGTATACAAATATTAAGATCACTAGCAGTGCAAGACTCACACCCTAGCACTAAGCAACATCAGGGGAAAAAAGAATATCTCCAATAGCACTGGTGGAAAAGCCCAGGGAAGATTCTTATTGATCCAGGTTGGTCAAGTAAACCATCCATGAACCAAGAGTCATAGAAAAGAAGGATTCTGTTAACATAATAGAAAAGAGAGAAGCAAAAACAGGAGATGTGCCTTGTTTGGAATAAACCAAAAGCTATCAAAGAAAAATGGCATTGTCTTTCTGACTACCCATAGGAAATGGATCTGAACCAGGAGCAATTTGGCTTAAGTCAAAATTTTTGCTGTATTAAATCAGCAAGAAGGAAATACAGATTATTTTTGTTTGCTCAGTATGTAATGGTTACATTTGATTCCAACATAGTATCAAGTTCTACTTTTAATTCTACCCTATAATCTCTCAAAGATGCTTATTTTTAGGATGCTTAAAATCAGTGGCAGAGTTTGGTGGTGGTGTTCAGTAGTCAGATACATTTGAGGAACTTTGGGTTACACCAACTAGATAGATTTCTTAACTGAAGAACTTTGTACAGACTGAATTATGCTAATGTGCATCATGAATATCCAAATGTGGTGACTAAAGTATGCTTTAGGTCCTGAATTAATTTGACCATGGAACACTTTAGTTCACAGAGAATCTTGTAGGCCTGGGGTTCTATGAGAGACATAATCCTCTGACCCACAATGAGATGGAAGTAATCAGTTTTTTTCTGGGCATTTAAAACCTGCTGCTTGGTGGTATGAAAACAGCATAGATTTTCACATCAGTGCTGTGTTTAAATCTCACTTTATTACCTTTATCCTAGATCAAATTACTTAAACCTCTCTGAAACTCAGTTTCTTTATATATATAAAATTATATGTTAAAGATAACTTGGCAAAAGAGTCTAGGACGATACCTAGTCATTTTTTTCTAGTTTCATTTCTTAAATTTTTATTTTAATTAATAATTGCATATATTTATGGCATCTGATGTTTTGATATATGTATACATTGTAGAATGATTAAATCCTGCTAATTAACGTATTCAACATCTCACCTACTCTTTGTGGTGAGAACACTTAAACTCTAGTCTTTTAGCAATCTTGAAATATATATTATTAACTGTGATCACCATGTGACATAATAGATCACTAAAACCTATTTGTCCTCATGAAACTCTGGACACTTTGGCTAACATCTCCCATTTCCCCATCTACCCATGCTCCTAACCTCTGGTACCCATCATTCTACTCTCTACTTCTATGAGTTAAATTTTTTTAAATTCCACATATGAGTGAGATCATGTCTGTACCTGGCTCATTTTACTTAGTATGATGTCCAGGTTCATCTATGTTGTTGACCTAGGACTGATGCAAACTTTAATTTAGCAAACAATGGTAATCCTGCAATTAGCACTATGTTCCTGTTTCCCAGTGTTTTGTTTTTTTAGTAACAGGGTGTCTCTCTGTCACCCAGGCTGGAGTGCATGGCATAATCATAGTTCCCTGGAGCCTTGACCTCCTGGGTTCACAGGATCCTCCCTCCTCAGCCTTCTAAGTGCTGGGATTACAGGTATGAGCCTAGCCCTACTTCCCAGTATTAATGCAAGTCTTAGTCAGAAGAGCCTACTAATACAGATTCAGATAAAGGTTAGAGGAGATAAAAGGTGAAATGCCTTTAGCGAATTAAAGTAGTCTGAACTAATTAAAAAAAAAAAAGGGGGGCATCTGAGCCAGGTATAGTGAGGCCAAGTTCAGGAGCTGGTCTCAGAGCCAGGTTTGGATGATCTGGATTACCTTGTGCAAGCTACTTAAGTCCTATAAGGCCCCATTTCCTGGAATATAAAATGGGGATAATTATGCCACTTCAGGTGGTTGTTTTAAAGATAATGCACCTAATTCATTTGCTTACTGAGCTTGATATATGATAATCATTCGATATCAATATCAGTCAAGCCTAGTGACTAGTTGTATCTGGATACCATAGAAATCAATCCCAAAACTGCAGAGGCTGGATACAAATATGACTTATTTCTTTCTCATACTACATGCCTGTATCAGGTCAGCAGGAGAGCTGTGCTTACCATTGTCACTCAGCCACACAGGCTGATGGAACAAACGCCAACTCAAATGTTGCCACCCATGATAGCAAAGGGAAAGAGCTCTCTGGCAGGTCTCCAATCAACAACTCAGTAACAGGCCTGGAAGTGACATATGACACTAGAGCTTCCCACTCAATGACCAGGACTAATCATATGGCCTCGCTCAACCACAGAGGGGTCAGGAAGTGCAACCCTCGTTGCATCCAGAAGGAGAAGATATGGAAATATTTTCTGAATGGCACCATTACCCACATGCTAGCTTCTATGACCCAAGCTTGCACTCAATAGGCACCTCATGAGTATTTGGTGATTTGTTTAAAATGACCAGCAGGGGAGGGAGAGCAAGCTTATGCAATCATAGTCAGCAGAATCAAAAAGACCCACTATAAAGAGAAAACTATAAAAGCAACAGCAACAGCAACAGTGAGCCTGGATACAGTATGGCAATTAAAATAGGTATGTCAAAAGCTATTGAATCTCAGTTTTGTTACCTTTATCCTGGGTCAAAACTTCTCTGAACCATAGTTTCTTCATCTATTAAAAAAATGAGCCATCCTGGATTATAATATATTGTATGTCAAAGAGCCTAGGACAATATCCAGCTTACAGAACATACTTGTTAATGCTAGTTTCATTTCATTCATTTCATTAAACTGATCTAGGCAATATATACATTTCTACCAAATGTAGCAAACTCCTTCACAAAGTCTGCACAAAACTCCAATAGTGACTTCTCTGATTTTGAATATCCTATTTCCTTGATAACAGCATATTTAGATGACTTTAGAAAAAAGAAAAAGGAATGATATCTGCAATTCACAATAAATCTTCAACTAAATTATTCGTGCTATTTGTTTATAAACAGCACAACCAGTCAACCATGACATTTAAATTGGGAAATCAATTTTCCTGCAAAAATATTTCAGGTTACATGGAGTTGTCTTGGAGAATCTGATGACTGCAATGATGAATTGTTTTATATCATTCACATAAAGAGAGCATTACAGAAGGACTAATACAGAAACAATCCTGAATTCCAGGACAGGAAGGCATGAAGAAATTGTCTGGCTTCTGTTGGGAAGGGTCCCCAGATTTCTTTCACTCCTCCACAGTTATTCCCAAACCCCAACGGAATATGCTAGGAAAATACAGAATTGCTGCAGAAATGTACTCAAATATATAAATTAAAATTAATTCAAGCCACAGATTCCTACTGATCTCACAGTTTTAACATTTTTAGAAATTTATCTGTCATAAATTCATCTTCAAGGAAGTCATTACTCAAAACTAAGCTGTAAAGAAATGAACCAAATTGTAGTCATTTTTTAAAAATTGTTATTATTTTGGCAGAGACTAATGATTGTTTGTTCAACTTCTATTCTCCTCTCTTTCCTTCTAACAGAATAAGAAATTGTATTCTGGCCTCTTCCTAGCTCCTTGTGGTCATAAGCTTCAAGGGCAGCTGACTCCATCTTTAGTTGTAAATGGTGAATCTTCTTTGGTCAAAGTCAAACCTGCTTAACTAAAATCAGTGTAGGAATGAGGACGTGACATAATTCTGGCCAAGATATGAGAAGTCCACTACTGACCTTCTAAAGCAACCCCAGAAGAGGAAATTTTATTCTTTTTTTTTTTTTTTTTTTTTGGTTGGGGGTAGGGGGTGGAGACAGGGTATTACTCTGTCACCAGGCTGGAGTGCAGTGGTGCAATCATGGCTCACCACAGCCTCTCACTTCTGGGCTCAAGTGATTCCCACACCTCAGCCTCTCAAGTAGCTGGGACTACAAGTGTGTGCCACCACACCTGGCCTTTTTTTTTTTTTTTTTTTTTTTCGAGAGGCATGGTCTCACTAGTTGATCAGACCTCAAGCAATCCTCTCACCTTGGCCTCCCAAATTCCCAAAGTGCTGGAATTATAGGCCAGAGCCACCACTCCCAGCCAATTTCATTCTTGAAAAGAAGAGTCAGTCCCTTTTTTTCTTACAGATGTTGTCCTAACTCTACACCTGGAACTGCTGCAACCACCTTGCTTCCAGTGTGAGAATGAAGACAGTGCTAAGGATGGTAAAAAAGAGAGATAACAAGAGCCTAATCCTTGAGGACATCCTTGAATCACAGCGTCAACCAACTCTGTCATCTGTCCTACCTCTGGACATCCTGGTATGAGATTAGTGTGTTTCCTAATTGCTTAGGCAAATTTGAGTTGAGCTTTCTGATTACGGCAGGACAGATCATCCTAACACAAAGGTCTCAAAGAGAAAAACAAGAGCATGGTGGACACTACTATAAATGATCTGATGTCTATTCTCCCTTTCTACCTTACTAATATTACTCTTCATTTTGTTTAAAGTAGGTCAGTTATAGATACACAGTCATTTTAGACAATAAAATATATATGGATGACCATTCTTCAGCCTCATGAGACGCTATTGTCTTATTAAAATAATTTAAAAAGGAAAAGTGTCTCTCAGTGCCCTTTGTCCTTTGCCGTTTCTCTCTCTGGGCCTGATATGTAGATTAAATGCTCATACATAGTGCATTCAATGTGCTCAGGGTGGCAGAGCTATAAACCAGAAGGAATCTGAATTCTTGATGCCATCCCTGACCAGTTATGCTCTTCCTAAAAGCCCTCCTTCCAGACTTTCTTCGCAAATGAGGAAAAGAAACTCCTGCTTAGATAAGCCCCTTGATATGGTTTGGCTGTATCCCCACTCAAATTTCATTTTGAATTGTAGTTCCCACAATTCCCACATGTTATGGAAGGGACCTGGTGGGAGGTAACTGAATCATGGGGAGTGGGTCTTTTCCATGCTATTCTCGTGATAGTGAATAAGTCTCACAAGATCTGATGGTTTTTTAAAGGGGAATTTCCTTACACAAATTATCTTGTCTGTCACCATGTGAGACGTGCCTTTCACCTTCCGCCATGATGGTGAGGCCTCCCTAGCCACGTGGAACTGAGTTCATTAAACCTCTTTCTTTTGTAATTTGCCAAGTCTCATGTATGTCTTTATCAGCAGTGTGAAAACGGACTAATACACCCTTATAGATGAATTTCACTTATGCAGCCAATGTAACCAGTTATTTATCAGCAAATAATCAAAAAAAGAAAGACTAGGAAGGAGTACACTGAATAAAAATGGGGGTTCTGGAAACAGACCACCTAGTTCTGAAAAATTGAACCTGCCTTTTTGAGCAGTAGGAGGTTAGATCAGCTACTTAATTTCTCTAGGCCTTGGTTTTCTAATTCATAAAATTAGCATAATAATAAAAATAAATTTACTACAAAAATATGTTAAGAGGGTTTAATGAGACAATCCACATGGGAAAAAAATGAACCTGTAACTCAACACATTACTTCATTCAAGAAATATTGAATGCATCACTACATCCTGTTCTAGGTACAAGGACTAGAACAGCAGACAAAATAAACAAAAATCCCACCCCAATGGAGCATACATTCTACTGAGGGAAAACAGATAATAAACAACAGAAGAAAGAAAAATATGCAGCATGTTAGGTAGAGATAAGAGCTATTAAAATTAATAGGTCATGGGGAAGAGAAGAAAGAGTAGATGGGGGTGAGACTGGTAATTTTAAATTGAGTGGGTGATTTTAAAATGATCCTTGTAAGAGCCTGAAGGAGATAAAGGAGGGAGTCACATGAACTCCATTGTGAACCCCGTGCATGTGAAATGGGAGAAAGGTATTTTAGGCAAAGAGAAAAACCAGTGCAAAAACCTCAAGCCAGGGCATTCCTGGTGGGTTCTAATAAGAGCAAGGGAAATGATGTGTCAGGAGCAGAGCAAGCAGCAGGTATTTTGACAATTTGTTTGAAATAATTTATTCACGCTCAGAAGCTAGTCTAGAGGCTTCAGATTCCAAACCCTTTCCATGCCATCAGAATACAAAAAGAATAGGAAACTAATGAAAATACCAACGTGAAAACTCACTCATTTTCCATTTCTCTCCACAGCCACTATAGGATACTGGTGTAATGCCAAATGATTGGCTCTGTCTTGGTCAGCTCAGGATGCCATCACAACAACAGAAATATAGATTTCACAGTCCTGAGGCTGGGAAATTGAAGGTCAGGGTGCCAGCTGATTCAGTTTCTGGTGAGGGCTTTCTTCCTGGCTTGTGGGCAGCCATATTTCCTCTATGTCTTCACATGGCCTTTCCTTGGCGTGCACACATGGCGCTCTCTCTCTCTCTCTCTCTCTCTCTCTCTCTCACACACACACCAGTCTTATGAGATTAAGACTCCACCCTTATGCCTTATTTCACCTTAATTATCTCCTAAAAGCCCTATCTCCAAAAACAGTCACACTGGGGGTCAGGGCTTCAACATACGAATTTGGTGGGGACACAATTCACTTCATCGTAGGCGATCCTAAATTTTTTCTTGAATTGAATCACCCATCCCTCCAATTGACCAAAATAAGCAGATGTTTAGATATACATATATCCAACTCTGAAACTTTTAGCCCAAAGTTTATTGCCAAGTGGATCCTCCATACACCTGAGTTCCACAGAAATTAGGGAAATTTTTCGGGGACAAAATATGGCAGGACTAATAGAGGAGAACAGTGATAGCCAGCATTGCAGAATTAGTTGTGAGCCCACTCTTGTGGCTGTAGGAAAAGGGGTTCTGTCCTCCTAAACAATATGACTCCTTAGATAGGCCTTGTAAGAGAATTGCTCATTGTTCTGGGTTTAAAGGAAGAAGCTGCCTCTAGCTACATAGTAGGAGCTCTAACATAGGAAATAATTATACTGATAAGCTACTATGTTAATACAACTTCCATTGAAGCTATTTTGAAAGAGACTATGGCACAGTGGTTGAGAACATGGAACAAAACTGCCTAAGTTGAAAATCCAGATCCACTACTCACTAGTGAGCAAGTCACCTCACCTGTCTGGGTCTTAGCTTCCAGTTACTAGAGTAATAATAGTACATCTAAATCATGGAGGTGTTATGAAGATTAAATGGCATTAATAAATACAAAGCATTTAGAACCATGCCTGGCATATAGTAACTACTCAGTTAATGTTGGCTGGTAGTAATAATTTACTAGGACAAGACAATTATTATTTAAGTATAGAATCCGTCATATGTTTTGGTCTGCTGCTATAGAGCCAAACATGTTAGGGGTTACTTCTGTCACACAATGTACTAGGCAGAATAATGGCCCCCAAAGATGTCCATGTCATAATTCTCGGAACCTGTGAAAATGTTACCTTATGTGGCAAAAATGATTTTGAGATATGATTATTCTGTATTATGTGAGTGGATCCAATCTATTTATATGAGTTCTTAAAATTAGTGTATTAGTCCATTTTCACACTGCTATAAAGACTACCTGAGACTGGGTAATTTATAAAGAAAAAAGATATAATTGACTCACAGTTCCACATGGCTGAGGAGGTATCAGGAAACTTACAATCATGGCAGAAGGCAAAGGAGAAGCAAGCACCTTCTTCACAAGGCAGCAGGAGAGAGAGAGAGAAGGGGGAACTGCCACACTTTTAAACCATCAGATCTCATGAGGACTCATTCTCTATCATGAGAACAGCATGAGGGAAACCAGCCCCATGATCCAATCACCTCACGCCAAGTCCCTCCCTGGACACATAGGGATTGCAATTCAAGACGAGATTTGGGTGGGGACACAGAGCTGAACCATATAAGGTAGAGAACCCTTTCTCTGGCTATAATCAGAGAAAGATAGAACAGTGAAGATGAGTCAGATAAATGCAGTGTGAGGACTCAATTAACCATTGGTGACTGTGAAGACACAGGAAGAAAGCAAACAGCAAAGGAATGTGAGCAGCCTATAGAAGCTGGGAAAAATGAGGAAACAGACTTTTTCCTTAGGGTCTACAGAAACTGAGGCAGCCATGCCAACACCTTGATCTTAGCCCAGTAATATCTATAGCAAACTTCTGACTATAGTAAGATAATGAAGTTGTACTGTTTTAAGCCACTAATTTTGTGGTAATTTGTTATGCAGTGACAGAAAACTCATACACGTTATAAATTAATTCATTTTAATATGGGCTTTAGTCATACATAGATAATGGAGAAAGAATACTGCAATCACACTACAACCTACTGTCAAATACAGTTAAGTGGAAAGCCTCCGGAACTAGAAGTGGATGAGACAATCAGAATCCATTGCAAATTCGTCCAACTATGAAACATATCTCAGAACTTGATTTTGAGCCAACTGGCTAAACTAACACAAAATTTCTGGCTCGTGTAATATAGAGTTTCAAGAAAGGGAAGCCTTCAAAATTGTTGGCTCCATGGTTTATCAATGTTGGCAGTGGCCCTGTTCTTCAGTCTCTTTGCTCTACCTTTTGCACTCAGTCTCAGTTCAAGGTTGGCTTTCTTTGTGGTGGAAAAGTGGCGGTTTCATATCCTCACAACACAATAACCAGAAAGAGAGAACCCTGGCCTCTGGCAGATCCTTCAGATCTGCTCTCACCTCTTATTGGCTCATTCTGTGTTACAAATCCATTCCTAAATCAACTGCTTTAGGCAAAGTAATGCTATGTGCCTACTGGCATAGATTGAACTAGCTGAACCAGTCACTACATGAAGGGAGATGGGATTATCTTGATCAGATTAAAACTATCAGGTCTTATTTGTGGAACAGAAAGGCCGTGTCTGTCCTTTCCAAATTATATTGATGCTACGCAACGAGAAGAGGTAGAAGGGGTGTTGGAAAGATACTAGCCCAAAATTTATCCAGCCTTGAAGTTACTACTAGGATTTGCAAGGCATGAGGCCTAATGTGATAGAAAAGGAGGAACATAGAGTCATAGCTAAGGTAACAGGTAAGGTTCAAGGGAAGTAAACAGAAAATAAGAGAAGATGCACGAGATGAGAAATTGAAGGAACAATAATAAATGCTTTGGACAATCTTAGCAACACCCTCCTAGTGTTTTTGAAACTTGAGTAGTGAGGAGGCCACATTTAATCTAAAGAATAAAACTTAGATAATTAAAAGACCGTATATAAAGTGATTAAAAGTATAGGCTCTAGACTCTGAAAACGTGTGTCCAAATCTCATCTCTAGTTTCTACTGGTCCTTGGGCAAATTAATCCCTCTACATCTTCATTTCTTCATTGGAGGCGAATAGTGATCCCAACTTCTTGGGGTAATTTCTGCGGACTAAATGAGTTAACATATCTAAAACCATTGGAACAGTATTAGGCTCAGTATAAGAACTATCTACATAGCTAAATAAAACAATGTTATTTGAATGCATACAACATATACTAGGTGAAATATTGTATGTTTGTATCTCTTATAAATCTTTAAAATCAAGACCCACCCAGGTAATAAATAGAGAAGGTGGGTTGACAACCCAGGCTGCCTGGTGCCCACTACTCCACGCTGCTGCTGCTTGAGCAACCAAGATATAGCTACACATTAAATTTAAACTACAAACCAACAAATTCAAGTTATCAACATCAATTTAATGTGATGGGTAATGTGCTTTTTAATAAACAAAACCAGTGCTCACAAAAGCAGCTCGGATTGTTCCAGAGTTAGTTATTTTGACTCTAGCAGCTTTTCCTAAACTTTATATATCATGTAATTGTTTATTCCTCGTGCCACTTTTTTATTCGACCCCCTGCACAGACTGTCATTATAAAGTAGTCACATGTATGATGTTTACCTCTGTTCTTTATCAACATAACTTGATAATCTTAAAAAGTGGTCTTTAATGTCAGCACAAAAATGCAAATGGGGATTCTCAAAGGGTTATAAAATTGGTCTAGAATATGCCTATATGCTCTTTTTGGATTACCTAGTTAAAAGACACAAAATTAAACAACTCTTAAAAAGAAGCCATGGGCCCCTGAGAATGCATCTTCATCTCTCAGTTTGAGAAATACAGCTCTATCCTAGCGTCTACCTTCTACTTCCCTTTCTTGCTCTACAGGTAATTTGTTTCTCTTCCTGCAAACCCTGCTCACTCCTCCTTTCTGCCCTTGGCCTCCCACTTACTTATCCCCAAGGAGGGTTAATGATGGGATCTGTAAAGGCTAAGGATATTCAATAGACCCCTGACCTGGGGTCAGGCTCTCTCTCTTAAGATTGTGTGTGTGTGTGTGTGTGTGTGTGTGTATGTGTGTTATAATATTATTTATCATTCACAACATTTAAAAAGTTATTTAGGCCAAAGCCATCCTCCTACTCTTCCCTAGCTCACCACCACCCCTAAAGACCTTGAATGAATGGCCCACACTAATTCTGCTCTAGGCAGAGAGACAAAATTCTTCCTTCATTGACATGATCTTCCTTTAAGTAGCTTTCTCCAGGAAGGACTGCTTCCTTCACAGAAGGGGTAATGAGTGAGGACCCAGGAAAAGCCTATCTCTAGCCAAAATGAAAGAAACTTCCTTATGATCCAACATCAGGAGACTACATGGAATATGGAACAAAAGCATCAAACATTGCCAGAAAAAATGTGCATTTATTGGACTTTGATCTTTGCTGAGCACCTCCCCAGGACATGACTAAGGCAGGACAGGACTCAGATGTCCAAGAACCTTGACCCCTCCGTAACTACCATGAAAATATATTCTTTTAGAAACCTCAGGAACACAGGGAATGTAGCTTTTGTAAAGCTGCCCTTGAGCTCTACTTTTAGCTGCTTATTCTCCAAGTGAGCCACGTCTCTATCACACACAAACAACCTGGTGGCTCTTCTGTGGTGCCTGTCCCACGTAGAGCTCACTCAGTAACCCTGCGGCTAGGGCAGCTCAAACAAAATCGGCTCTTGCAGTCAGAGTGAAACAAGTGAGGCATCTGACAGGGAACAGAAACAAAATAGACGAACTGTCACAGAGGCGTCACTCATACCATTTTCTCCCTTCTATGAGTTTATGCCCTCTCACTACTAATAATGATTAACATGAATTAACCACCTAGTCTCTAGCAGGCTTTCTTCTCAACCTTTTATGTTTAATTTCCACCAAAAGCCTACAAGATTTTTTTATTATTATTACAAGGTGTTTTTATTATCCCCACTTTGGGGTGGGGGCTGGGAAGAAATTAGGCACAAAAGGGTTAAGTAATAGACCGAAGACCACCCAGGTAATAAATAGAGAAGGTGGGATGAAAACCCAGACTTCCTGGTGCCCACTTCTCCATGCTGCTGCTACTACGGCTGCTGCTTGAGCAACCAAGCATTCCAGGGATATTTTGTCCTTGTGCTTCACACTTCATTCATTGCCAAGCAAAAGGGAGGAAAACTCACCCTGACAGAAGGGAACTACTATGGTCTGAATATCTGTGTCCCCCCAAAATTCATATTTTGAAATCTAATCATCAGTGTGATGGTGTTAGGAAATAAGGTCTTTGGAGGGCTATTAGGCTGTGGGGAAAGAGCCCTCATGAATGGGATTAGTGCCCGTATAAAAGAGGCCCAAGAAAGACCCTTCATTCTCCCACCTGTGAGGACACAGTGTGAAGAAGCCACCTATGGCTCTAAGAAGCAAGCCCTGACCAGACACTCAATTGGCCTAGATCTTGGATTTCCCAGCCTTGAGAACTGTGAGAAATAACTTTCTGATGTTTATAAACCACCTGGTCTGTGATATTTCGTTATAGCAGCCAGAACAGACTAATATCAGAAATGGTAAGAAAAGAAAAAATGGAGAGAGGAAGACAGGGAGAGAGAGGAGTCTGTATTTTCAGTCATTTTTCTGAAGCAAAGCCATGTTTTCAGAGAAAATAAAAGCTCCTTCTGTTGTAGATTTGAATTCTTGTCATGCTAATAAATGGGCCATCAAAGCAGCTGGCTGCACTCTTATCACTGCCATGGGAGTTATTTACGCTAATCCTTTCCCCTGTAGCCTGGCTGGACAATGATGAAAATCCCCAGCATCGGGTATTAAAAGAGACAGAGGAAGCACACAAGCCAATTTACGGGGTTTCACTTGACCAGTTTTCTTCATTTGAGTCCTATTAGCTCTGATAATGTATCCTCTATTAATCAGCCGGGGAGAGCAAGGTAACATCCTCGTGTGTGAATGTGGGTGGGCACACATCAGCCTTCAGTGCCTCTGGAAGTCCCAGCTTTCCAGCAAAAAGCCAAGAAAAAGCAAGAGAATATCTAAATGATCCTTGCAGGTCTTGTGAAGCATTTAAGGGCCCAAGTCAGTGCATACTCTAAGGAAACTATCAGGAAAGTACAATGCAGTGGAAGCTCTCTGTGGCTCTGTCACTTTCTTGCTGCTCTTTAAGCAAAGCATTTAACATCTCCAAGCCTCAGTTTCCTCAACTTCAAAATAGGAGAACTTATACTCTCCAAAGGAGTTGTAAGAATCAATGAGATATGGATATGATGATCTTAGTGATGTGCCTGTCACAGAGAAAGCACTTAACAATAATAATAACAACCTTTTGTTTCTAACTCCCTGCTTCCTAAACAGTCCTATTCCATTTTAAGATGAAGCTTCAAAGGAACAGCAATACGGAAGCATCTGAAGCCCTTCTCTTGACTTTTCACCTCAAGCTCAGTAGTTCTCTTTAGCTGCTCAAAGTTCTCTTCTCCTGATTCCCTCTTTTCATAAAAATTTATGTCTCCTGAGATGAGAGTGAGAGTGGCCCATCCCATAAGCAAAAAACTAGGCCAGTGATGTGTCTTTCCAAAAATTCAACAATGTTTTCTTCTCTTTCATATTTGTGACCTTGAATGTCATCTCTCAGCCTTCTATCTCCCGACCCTCGCCCCAAGCTTCCTCCAGTCCAGGATAATAGAAAAGCACAACCTGGCTATATCAGAACAGACTCATTTACTTTCCATCCCAAGGAGCTCATATTCTTGTTGGAGGCTTCCCATTTACCACTTCAGGGATGAACCAAGAGTCCTTGAAATGGAAAATTTGCTGGCTCTGAAACAGGGTTGTTCAATTAGTCATGCCAGGATCTCGAGGGGGAGAGCCAGAACAAGCAGAAGATTCAGAGAGAGAAGGAGCAAGCAGGAGTGGTAGAGTCAGAGAGGAAGGGAGGCTTCATCAAAGAAAAAACATTGCTAACAAACATGCCAATATCACTGATATGGTTTGGTTGTGTCCCCACCCAAATCTCATCTTTAATTGTAGCTCCCATAAATCCCATGTGTCATGGGAAAACTCATGTGTTCTAAGACTCTCCAACTCTCTCTTTTGCATTTTTCATGAATCTAAATCCTAAATGGTTATTTAATAAGCAGAACATATGAAACTGTGCTGGGAAAAAGGGACAAAGGATTAAGATTATGTAGAATAGTCCTAAGGAAAACTAGAATGAAAAATACATGGCACAGGAAGGTGTATTTAGTTTACTGAAATATGTAGAAGCCTGAAGAATCCAGAGTTCTCCATCACAGATATTTCCAAACATAAGCTGGAGAACCACTTATTCAGATGGAAGTGTTCAGCAGATAGTTGGGTAAACTGATTCAATGTTCAGGAGATAAAAGTCTGAGCTCTTAACCGGACATAGCATCGTGAAGCCACCTAACAAAGGATCTATCCAAGGATAAGTCACCTCAGAAAAGTACATAGAGTTAGATACAAAGGCAGAGGATCAAACACTATAAACGCTAATATTTAAGGGCCAAGTGGAAAAAGAAGTGAAGGGAACAGAAAGAAGATGTTTCAATGAAAAGAATTAAAAACTACTTAGTATTTATGGTCTTTGACCTTCAGATAATTCATTTATTCACTCATTCAATCAATCTTTATATTGTGCTTACTATGAGCCAGGCATTGTGCTATGTGGGAACACAATGAAAAACAAGACAACCCAGGCTCTACCTGCATGGAGGTTACTTTCTAGGAAATAATTCAGAGAGAAACATGTAATTAAATACATTTGTTAAGAGATCTTTCGAAGAATTATAGAGATAAAAGACAGAAACCAGATTTAAAGACATACAACAAGCTTAGCTATTAGGAAAGAAGAGAGACCAGAAAATAGAAGGGATATAGGTTTAAAGTTCTGGAAAGAGTGTAAGCATCACAAGGCAGTGGGGGACTTCCAAGCTTGAGATTCAATTATTCTCTTGTCAATTCCTGGGCTTCTCCAAATCTAGCCAATAGCACAAGTCATGTCTACACTAACTATGGTGGAAGCAGCTGCCTGAGCAGATTGACTGTCCCTTTGTGTCTTCAAAGACCATCAGCCCAGGCTGTCTCCCTACGGTTCCCGCACAGCATATGTTCTCTTCTGCAGGGTGAGAATATCTGCATTAGCCTAAGTACATATAGCAGGCCATTTAATTAATGCTCAATACACTTCCCGCATTAGCAAATATCACTGTGTTCCCTATGAAACTCTAAGGTATCTGATAGACTTGTGTCTCCCTGAAGATCCTGCTTGTTTATCTCCTAGTCAAAAGGCACAAGTCACATAATCTTAACTTTGCCAAAAGACACAGTAAGCCCTAACCTCAAATACTCTTACAGTCTTCAACCTCTCCGTTTGTTGATGGGGTTGACTCTAGGAGTTAAATAATCTAATTCCTGCTTCTCTGCCCTATTGTCTTTATGACTTTCAAATACTAGGATAGGATTTTTGGAGGCACACTCAGAGGGACTGAAATGTAAATGCCAGTTTAAAAAAAAAAAAAAAAAATATATATATATATATATATATATATATATATATATTCCAAAATGAAAGAAAATGTAGTGTCATTGCTTTAGTTGGTTGTCCTTAGGCTCTGCATTATGATTTGAGTTTAACAGTTTTCTACACTACTCTCATACATGCAATCCTAAGGCAAGACCCTCTTACGTTGCAACACACAGGGAGTTCATTTTTAGCCTGACTTTAAGTCTTATTTCTTACATCTTACTTGCCAAAATGTACCCCATTCTACATCCCTTTAATTCAGTAATCCATTTCCCAGATATCTTTGTAATGCTATATTTCTTCAGTTCGGCAACCCAGCTACGGAAGCCTGCTGGACCCCATCGTGCCACGATGCACAGTTCAGTTATGCAATTTAAGTTCTATGGCAACCGAAGAATACTTGAGTGCTCAAAACTGAGAAAGAATTTTTCAAAACAGAAGCAGTTTACTGGATAAAAGGCAAAGACAAATGACAGAGGAAAATTTGTGATCTTTCCTCAATACAAAAGAAACTATATTTACCTACACAACCACCAAAGCATCTAAAAGGATCCATTCAGTTAGCCGAAGGTAGGTGACCATACGTCTTCATTTTCCCAAGATAATGCTAGTTAACACCGGTTGTTCAATTATCTCGGTGCTCCAATTTAGCATCCCCTTTCACTCGCAAATGTCTTCTAATTTGAACAATAAATTACTTGGTCATCTCAGACAAAAAGTATCAAAAATCTTCCAGCCAGCTAAATGCTTGAAATTGTTCTCGAACTTTTTAACTAGCTTTAAAATCATATAACTATTGTTGTGAAGGAACAGTTCTCCAGAACGTGAGTTAATGGAAGCCAGCACTTCTAAGAAAGAAATGTGAAAATTTCAAGTATCAATAGTGCATTCAGAGACAAACAAGTATAAAGAAGGCAACTGCCTTTTAATGCTAGGACTGGGAAACATTAGAAATAAGAGCTGAGAGGCCAGACGCGGTGGCTCACACCTGTAATCCCAGCACTTTGGGAGGCCGAGGAGGGTGGATCACGAGGTCAGGAGATTGAGACCATCCTGGCCAAAATGATGAAGCCCTGTCTCTACTAAAAATACAAACATTAGCTGGGCATGGTGGTGTGCGCCTGTAGTCTCAACTACACAGGAGGCGGAGGCAGGAGAATCATTTGAACCCAGGAGGCGGAGGATGCAGTGAGCCGAGATTGCACCACTGCACTCCAGCCTGGGCAATAGGGCAAGACTGTCTCAAAAAAAAAAAAAAATAGCTTAGACATATATTCTGAGCTTTCAGTCCACATTAACAAAGTAAATCAAGGCTGTAAAGATTTTATTAGACTCTAAAGAACACATTAAGGTCTAGTGAAGAGAACTCTAGTTTTTTTTTTAAAAGTATTATTATTGATTTCAATTTTTTAGAAGGAGTCTTAAGATTACTAAAGGCACTGGATCAAATACTATAAGAAGTGAGTTAAAACAAATGTAAGTGTCTAGATTTCACCATTTTGCAGATTCTGATTAGCCTGAACCAGACTGTAATACTCAAGCTTATACTCCTCACTGAACAGATTATTCCTCTGAACTATACAAACCAGAGTGGGAAGTGCTGAATCCCAGTATTTGGTAAAATCTTGAGTCAGATTTGAATTGTCATTTTGGGCATTTTAATTTATGGCTATCTACTTGTCTTATGTTTTATTAGCATCCTTGCTCTTTCACTTCAGTCTTTGCTCATATTTGCAGCTCTGAATCTTTAAGCAGAATCTATTTGCTCATTACTTCCTCCTTCCAAACTTTCACAAAACTGTACACAGGGCTTCCTCTTCTCTCCCTCACACCCTACCCTGTGGTTTCTGGGTACTGCCCTAATCCATTATCCTTTGTTAACAGTCTTCCAAGGGCCTTTTTGAGATTTTGTTCTTAGCCAAGCCAATTTTATTCAAATTTGCATGTAAAATTTCACAAAAGGCTACATCAAATTCTTAGTGAATGACCAAATACACATTCTAGAGTCGTGATTAATTTAATGCCCTTCTTTATTTACTAGTGAACTCATTCTTTTTCAAGCCTTTTTCTTTAGTGCTATAGGGTATATGTGAAACTTTTCTTCTTCTATTTTAAACTCGTCGCTATGTTCTGCTGGTAATAGATCAAGCACTTGATATGATCACAGGCCTGTGCTCTGCTTTTCTCTTGAAAGGATTCAAATGAAAGTGAACAGAATGTTTTGGAAATCATCTTGAGCACAACTGAAGGAAATAGAGATAATTGGCCTGCACAAAATGTGCTTAAGTGAAAACATATCCATTTACAGGTATCTGAAGGATTACCAAACTATAGCATTGAAAAGCAAAATCAGGACCAAAAAATAAGAATTATAGTGGCAGAATGAACCTCAACAGAATTTATCCCATGGTTCGGCAAACAGTTATTGGGAGCCTTGTATGTATAAAGCACTATTGCAAAGAAGAATTAAAGTACCTACTCTCAAGTCCTTTACAACCTATTATAGTCATATAAAGTATGAGAATAAATAGTTTGAGGGAGGCTGTAAGTCCCTAGGTAAACCCCAGCCATATCCACCGTGTTCCAAGATGTAGTACAGCAGAAGCAGGTATATTATGCTGGGTACATGAATTTGAGGCAGCACCATTGGATTTCCTAGCCTGTGTGTAACATGCAAGTGATACAGAAATAGCCAGGTGTCCCACTGAGGAAATACAAAGGTGCTGAACAGGCAGGCAAAATATCAAAGGCTAGGCTGTAACAAAAATTTCATAGTGAATAGTCATTGTAAATGGAGGCGAATGGCCACAACTGTGGACCCCATTAGCATGTACCAGCACAATGTCTCAAAGACCAGACACTATCAGTGGGAGACCAGAACAACCACTACATTGTCAAGATCAGCAGGAGTCCATGGGATATCTAATAAATATCAGACCATCTTTCCCCCCCAGTTCCACAGGGTGACATAAACCTCCTCTTAATTTCCAGACACCAACTTGGAGGGAAGTAAAGAAAGGTAGAGGAAATCTGAGTGACCACATAGCCAACAAAATCAGACATCCAAAAGGCACTGTTTAAACTGGAAGAGATTGAATTACCATCACTAGTTTACCTATTTCTGATTCCCCTGCCCCAGCTATCTAGTAACTATAAAGCCCTCCAAACCTCTACACACACGTAAACACGTGTATCCCTCTACCTAGTGAGACAGGATTTACAAGGAAGATTTGTTTTAGAAAATCAAGAAAAGTAAATGTTGTTGTATATCTAAGCAGTAATGTGTAGAGATTTTTGACCCCACTACAAATTCATGAGCATATATTCACACATATGAAGCCAATAGTTAATAATTCATCTAAAAAGATTTTTAAAAGAAAATGAAAGGCTTTTTTTAAGCAGGGACAACTAGAGGCCCTGCATAAGTTCACATTGTTTATTTCTATTCTCTACAATGATTGCTTTTTCAAACAGGATTATTAGCCTGTGTTTAATGCCGTATTTTAATCTCCTTCATGTTCTTGAGTTTTAATGTTTTCTTCATACTCTGTATTCTTACTGATTTGCATTCTGAAGAAGGTGATTACTCTTACACTGCTGTACTCATTGAACACAAGAACGTATTTTACATGAACTATGAATTTCAGCAGCGCAATCATTGAAAGAAAATGTTTCTCCTTTTTCCACATAGTATCTTCTTCCCTGTCCTGATGGGTGACACCTCTTTACAAATCTCAATGCAGGTTCCTCTTTGTTTTAAGATATTATTGTGCTTTTCTGTAAAAATCATAGACTGCAGACCACTGTTATCTGTATATGAGCTTGGTGCTGCTGGTGTTACTATTATTCTTCCATAATATCGTAAGAAATTATTACCAACAAAGGAATGTTACTCAACATACATAGTAGCTACATGGATTTGTCTAGTTGTGTACCCTACAGCAAACCATCAAATCTCAATATCTAAAATAGATAAAGGACTATGAAAAACTATTACCAAAATCTGTCCTAGGTAACTGTTGTTTCATTTCCCAAGGAGAAAAATTAAGAGAAAAAATTAGCTAGCCTCTCTCAATTTATCAGTTGGTGTTCTGGGTGATTAAGATGGGGGAGAAGTTGGCAGAGCTGTTAGAAAGAAGGCTGTCATAAGCAAAAGGGCTGTAGGGAAGGGAAAGGTGTCAATGTCGCTAAACAAGGTCTAAATGAAGAACCTGGAGCTCAGGGAAGGATGAAATTAAAGTACTGATATGATAGCTCCTTCTGAATTTACCACACTGTGATTTCTAGTTTCTCTGAATTCTCTCAGCTTTTCCCAAATATCACAGAGAAAAGTGACGATGGTCAGAATGGATTACCAAAAATCCTACCAAGTTCCTTTTTAACAGGATGTGGAATTGGTTATAGATGTTACTTTGATTTCCAACAGGAGACCACGGTATTTCTACTACTAAGGGTTAAACTACTAAGTAAGGCAGGAAGTTTTGAGTCCAGCCAGCACACACACAATCAATCCTGGCTATGTTTCTTTTCTTCCACTGGATACTGGAAGGTTATTAAGTTTCTCTGAAAAGCTGTATCAAACACCAAACAAAACCCTGAAAGATGGAAAGATTGAAAAGAGGTGCTGAAAGCAGACAGTCAATGCCTGCAGTCCAAAGTCTTTGTCTGCACGCACAGTTGCTTCTTTTCATCGTCTCTCAGATCATCAGTTGTTTAAGGGCTGTGAAAAGTGTCAGAAAGACAGCCTACTTCTAAAGTTAGGGAAAGTTTGGGATGTGAATATATGAGAATGCTATCAGATTGCTTACACTTACCCAAAACCTTTTAGGGGGATTTAAAAAAAACACACACACATTTGAAGAGTTAAAACATAATCATTCACAGAGATCTAAAGCAATGTCTAAAAGATGTCTTCTCTCTAGCTGAGAAATGAAAAATGCAATTTCAGGAAAAACACTCTAATTTCTTTTCTTCTGTTTTCTCCACTCTATCATGGAAGGACCACACCAAAGGCCTTATCTTTGACTTTTAAACCTTTTCTTTAGGAAGACTTGATAAACACAGTACTTGTTTTTCCCCTGTCAGCGAAAAGAAAAGAGATAAGGATCATTTTAAATTGCAGAAAATGCTAGTCATTATTGTTTGGCTTGAGAGTATATAATTTTATCGTTATAATTATGGCTAACCAAGACTTATTTTCTGATATAACCCTAATCCCTAGAATTCATGAAGAACAAAATAAAAAATGAAACTATTTGTCAAAACATTAAGAGATTTTGTTGGCCTCATGGTATCCTCCATCATGAGGAGTTAAACAATATGCCAGGCCAAGAGTGACTTAGAGAGAAAAAGGCTTTCAAAAAGATTTGATGAGTGACAAAACTTCCAAAGTCTCTCACCACTGATTTTACTGTCCTTCCAATTGAAGAGAACTATATTCATAATGGGAGAAGGTGGGCTGAGAAAATTCTTACTGAAAAAGAAAGTAATCTTTATTCTTCATGTTGGAAACCTTTTTTTAATCCTCTAATTTCCCAAAAAGGTCAAACAAGGTCCCTTTGTGTCCCAAGAATCTTCAAAAATCATCACCCTACATAGCAAATAGAAGGAATAATGAATTTTGCTCAACAGTAGTATTTTAATTTAATGGCCAGTATTTTTTAAAAAATTAAAAACTTTATACCATTCAAATCAATAAAAGCTAAGGAAGAGATTGAGGGAAAAATATCAGATTTGAAAATTCCTGACTTCTTATATCTTTTCATAGTTAACATCAACCTTCTATATATCAGGGCTCAAAACAAGGTTTTTATTACAATGAATTTGCATGTGCTCAATAAAATTCAATTGGAAGGGATTTTTGCTTCTATCCATGAAGGAGCAACAGGAAACAGAATTATCTTTCTACCTTCAAAAACTTTTTTTAAAAAGTAGACAAAATATATGAGACAATTTTTACACATTGAACAATAGGCAGGGTAGATCACTGATCCCTGAAAAAAGGAAAACAAATAAGGTGAAACCAACTATTCAACTCTTGTTCAAGTTTACTGCCTGGCGGTAATAAAGCCTGGAAAACTTCCTGAGTTCAGTTTAGAATTCAAGGGGGATAAAGTGGTGTATAATCAGAGAAAAGAGATTTGCAGAGAGAGAGAGAGAGAGAATGAGAGAGAACGAATGAACTCCGGAGATTTGCAGAGGGTTTCTTCTGAGTCTTCATCTGAGTAATGATCAGCAACTACATGTAAGAAAACTACCCAAGGCATGGGGAAGAATCATCAGAAGGATCAAATGGAATAGTTTTTGGAGCTCATACAAGGCCAAAAATAGTATTCATCCACACAAGCCAGAGTGAAGACTTCTAACATATGGAATATCAAACATATATTCCAGAGTCCCCAGAGGAGTATTGTCTCAATATGTGGCCAGATTAGCCTTGAATGAACAGCCTCACAGTTCAAAAGCAAGCAAGGATCAAATTGCTTTCAAGTAACTTAATTGCTGCATTCCATAACAAAGCTCCTAAGGTACTTAAGAAAATGTAGATGGATCTGGAGGCCATTATCCTTAGCAAACTAACACTGAAACAGAAAACCAAATACCCACATATTCTCACTTATAAGTGGGAGCTAAATGAGAACTCATGGACACTTAGAGGAAAACAACAGACACTGACTGGGTGGTTTTGGAGGGTGGAAGGTGGGAGGAGAGAGAATCAGGAAAAATAACTAGTGGGTACTAGGCTAATACCTGGGTGATGAAATAATCTGTACAACAAACCCCCATGACAGAAGTTGACTTATGTAACAAACCTGCACATGTACCCCTGAACTTAAAGTAAAAGTCAAAAAAAAAAAAAAACACAAAAACTCTATTACATAACAAGGTAAAATTTACAATGTATGGTATCTAATCAATTGCCAGGTATGCAACAAGCAGGAAAACATTGGTCATAATGAGGAGAACAACAAATCACTACAGACACACCCATAAAAGACTTATAAATAACAATGACAATAAAACAGCTATTAAAAATATGTCTTAAATATTCTTGAAGGTTGAGCAAAATGTGAACATCCTGAGGAGAGACATGACATATATTTCAAAACCAATCTTCTAGAAATGAAAATTCAATATCTTACATAAACAATACACATGATAGGATTAATAGCATTTTGACAATATAGAAGAATGATTAGTGCACTTGAAGACCTGGCAATAGAAACTATCTGAAATGAAATACAGAGGGGAAAAATACTGAAAATAAATGAACAGAGAATCAGTGAGCTGTACAAAGAGGTAAAAGTAGACTAAAATACATGTAATCAAAACCCAAAGGGAAAGAAGAAGGAGAAAAAAAAACAGAAAAAAAATGTTGAAGAAATAACATACCAAAAAATTCATAATTTAATGGAAATTACAAATCCACAGATCCAAGAAGCTCAATAAACCCCTAGTAAAAAACATGAAGGAATTTACACTAAAACCTATCATATCGAAATTGTTGTAAATAAGTGATAAAAAGAAAATCTTAAAAGCTCCTGGAGGAAAAAAGACACATTAGGTACAGAGGATAAAATGGCAGACTTCTCATCAGAAACAATACAATCTAAGAGACAATGAAGCCATGGCTTTAAAGTACTGAAGTAGGGTCTGACCCTTCTGCCAGTCATCAGTTTCTAGAAAAAGTGAGAACAAATGAAAAGGAAAAGCCTCCAGTCAACAACTGGAATATAATGGAATGTTTTAATGAAGTAGTAACGAGTTTGGTTCTTTCTACAACTCACTTAGCTACAGAGCCCTAATTGCATGCCACTTCTGCCCAAGTAATGTAACAATGAATCCTGTTGTTGACTTTTAATAAGAAAATTGTCAATTAGCAAAGATATCTCTCAGTAATAAAAAACAAAATGAAGATTTTTTTCAAACATAATGAAAGCTTAAAAATTATTAACAGATCATCACTATAAGAAATGTTAAAGGAGGTTCTTTTTGCAGAAAGAAAATGATACTAAATGAAAATCTGGATCTACACAAAGTAATGAAGAACACTAAAAATACTAAATATGGAGGCAAGTATAGGACTTGTTTTCTTATTTTTTTTTTTAGTTGATTGAAATGCGGATGGGTAATTTTACTGTACCAGTTAACTAATACACTATAATTGTGTCAGCTGCTGCTGAGTAATAAATCACATCAAAACTTAATGGCTTAAAGCAACTAGTTATTATTTCTATTGGATACAGTTCATCTAGATAATTAATTCTACTATTGTAAGCCATTCTTGACTGAAGTTGATGGGCTCACTCATGTATATGCAGTTAATTGGTAAGTCAGTTTAGGGCTAGCTAACCTAGGATTGCTTCAGCTCGGGTGGCCTAGCTTTGCTCTGTGAGGTCTTTCCTCTCCTTCCTCTCCTAGCAGGCTAACCTGGGCTTGTTCTCATGACAAAGGAGAGGTCTACAACTGGGTAATCCCAATCATGCAAAAGGTAAAATAAAGGCACATTTACTTGTAAAGCTTCTGCTTGTGTGACATTTGCTAGTATCTTATGGGGTTAACCAAATCACACAACCAACCTCAGAGTCAGAGTGGAAAGGTTCTACAAAACTTTTTAAATTGCAGGGCAAAAGTATGGATATAGGGAAGCCATTATTTGGGGGATGTTGGTGTAATCAATCTAGCATGCACATCTACTTTGGCGACAGTGAATTAATGTACTTACAGAAATAATCCATGCGTATATACACACACTACATAACCTACATACAGGTAACTTCAGAGTTTACTCTGCTTGGTTATTTTTTAAACCTCTTCATTATCATGAGTGATAATCTCAGTACTATGGGTAGCAGAGGGTTAAGAATATTGGGAGAAAGATCAAGAATAGGTGTACAGAGAAAGGGAAACAAATGCATTACAAGAAGCTATAAGAAGTTTGCAACAGATTATCGCAAGGATAACCTAGAGTACTGAGAAATGCAACAAGGCAGGCAGAGAGCGAGGTAGCGACCAATGGAGAAGAGAGAGCCAGGAAAAGAGATACAAGACATCATAATCAAGAAGAACCTGATAATGAAGTCAAAATGTGCTAAGGCCAAAAAGTTTTGCTGCTTTTTGTTTTTGTTTTGTTTTTTTGAGACGGAGTCTCACTGTGACACCCAGGCTGGAGTGCAATGGCACGATCTCAGTTCACTGCAACCTCCACTTCCCAGGTTCAAGCGATTCTCCCGCCTCAGCCTCCTGAGTAGCTGGGATTACAGGCACACACCGACACACCCGGCTAATTTTTGTATTTTTAGTAGAGACGGGGTTTCACCATATTGGCCAGGCTGGTTCCGAACTCCTGACCCCAAGTGATCCACCCCCCTCTGGCCTCCCAAGGTGCTGGGATTACAGGCGTGAGCCACCACGCCCGGCCCTAAAAAGTTTCTTTTATCATTTCTTGAGTTCTCAACCTGAAACAAATAAGTAGAATTGCTAATTGAATATACTGGGGAAAAGTCCAAATTAACATTTGTGGAATGATTAATACTACTTAAGAAAGAATTGAGTTTTTACACTGATAAAGGATCCCCAGAATAGGGTCTGACACGTCTGCTAGTCATCAGTTTCCAGAAGAAGTGAGAACACAATGAAAAGGAAAAGCCTCCAGTCAACAACTGGAATGTAATGGAATGTTTTAATGAAGTAGTAATGAGTCTGGTTCTTTCTACAACTCACTTAGCTACAGAGCCCTAATTGTATGGCACTTCTGCCCAAGTAATGTAACAATGAATTCTGTTGTTGACTTTTAATAAGAAATATATTTAATTGTATTAAATATAATTATACTATAGCTATGCTTGAGTGGCACAGATAATGATTCATTATTATATTTAATAGAAAATATATTTAATTTTCTAGTGAACTGATCTCATACAAATTGAAATTGGCAACTTAAAGTATTTTTTTAAAACTAAAGTATGTTTGGGATGCTACTTTTATGTTAAGTAACATGGTCTTCATGAAGAAAATGCTATTCATATTCTTTCAATTAAATTTGTTTGTTCTGGTATGAAATATAGGAATTCCAAGAGAGAAGAGAGAAGCAGAAAAAATATTGAATAAGAAAAGAAGGAAGGAAGGGAGGGAGGAAGGCTGCAGAACACATACACAGCATCATCTCCTTTGGGGTGTATGTAACTAATTTGTTGAAGGACACTGAATGTTAACATAAAACTGTTAACAATTAATTCTGGAAAACAGAAATGAAAGTGTTGAAACAAAAATTGGGTGCCCAGACCTATTTAGTGTCTTGTGCTATTCTATTCTAGTATCTTGAATCTAAGTCAAAACCAAATGCACAAAGAAATTAGTCATTAAAGAATCTAGTGATATTACTGACCAGCATCATTAACTATTAATTATGGATTTTCATATATCACTTACATCTACAGACAGAAGATACTTTTTTAAAAAGATGCTTATATATAAATAACATGTCTTCATTTTGAAAAACACATTTTTAAAGACAGGCAATATGGTTCACTTAAGAAGCTGGTCAACTACAATTAATTGACCATGGGTCAAATCCAACCTACTGCCTATTTCTGTAAATAAAATTTTATTGGAACACAGCTATAGCCATACATTTATGTGTTATCTATGACTGCTTTCACACTGTGATGACAGAGTTGAGTTGTAACAGAAACTATACAAACCATAAAGCCTAAAATATTTACTGTTTATCCATTCACAGAAAAAGGTTGTCAACCCCTGATTTAGTGGGAAGAGTCTAGCTTTGAAGTTAAACAAACCTGGATTCTAATTTTACTCTTGCAACCTGTGTCTCTGAGCTTCAATTTATCTATCTTCGCTATAAGAGAGGAAAGTAGGAATAATAATATATTTCTTGTAAGGAGTTGAGAGGATGATGGGAAAAGTACCTGGCACGGGAGAAAAGCAAGAAAATGTAGCAAACAAATACATAAATAAGGTTACAACAAAAGAAACAGCTAAAAGAGAAAAATGTTTGCCTCTGGGTAATGTGAATTGGAAGTCTAACAGGAGGCATTTTGTAATATTTGCCCATAAAACTATTGGACTTTTAATTATTTATTTGACTTAAAGATTCTTTTATTTTAAAGAACATTTCTATTAAAAATGTTAAAGTATATCATTTGTGTAGGAACAAATAAATACAATATTGAAACAACACATGTGTATGGAGACTTGATATATGATAAAAGTATCCCTGTAAATCTCTGAAGTGATCATTAATATTTTAGTTAACAAAATTAAGAATATAGTTTTACTAAAATTTTTTAAAAAGAAAATAATACAGTCACTGCCTATCTTATACTATATAAAAAGGTAGATTCCAAATGAAGTAAGGCCCTAAATATGAAAGGAAAGCTACAAAGCTAAGAGGAAAAATAATTTTAATTATCTTTGTGACTTAAGGGTTAAAAAATATTTCTTAAGCAAGACCCACCAAAATTGATGGATTTGACTACACAATAAAGTCATTTACAGGATTTTTCAAAATAAACAATCAAAATGATAATTTTTATTTTACTAATAAAACAAAAAACTGATAAATTAATAACTAGAATACACAAGGAACTGTTGCAAATCAACAAAAAGAGAGGAATCCCAGATTTTAACAATAAACAAAATATATTAATAGGTTATTCATATAAAGGGGAAGTCCAAATAACTAACACATATAAAAAGAGATGCTCAAACTCACTAGTGATATAAAAAAATGCAACATAAAACAAGCCACTTCTACTTTATAACCATTAGAATGTTAAAAAAAAATAGAAAGGTTGATAATGCAAGTGTTGGTATGATTGACGGAAAACAGGCCACCTCATACATTGCTGGAGAAAATGTAAATTGCTAAAATCATTTTGGAGGGCAGGCTGGCAATGGTCGATGAAAATAAGTATGCCTAAATCCTATCACCTACTCCTGGGTAGGCAGCCCAGAGAAATTCTAGTATAAATCAATATGGGACAAAAACAAGGACCTGCTTTACAGCGGTGTTGATGGGACTAGAGAGTTGAAGGCAATCTAGATGTTTGCATCACCAGAGAAATGAACAAACAGAAAATGATGCATATATACTAAGGAATACTATGCAACAGTGTAACAATGTAGTGTTCATTTTAGGAAACAAAATCTACGGTAAAACTTTTATATAAACTTTTAAAATATGTAGAAAGAAAACATCATTTATCTCAATAAGCTAACATGTAAAAAGACAATCAAGTAAGGACCTATTGGAAAAGAGAAGTATGAATATCAGTAATAAAGGGGGATGGATTAAATATCAAATGAGAAAAGAGTCTGGCATGGACTGATAATGATAGTGGGTCAGGAGCTGAGTAACAAAATTCCCCCTAACTCTCTGCAGGTAGGATTCAGTCAGAAGAAAAGGAGAGGACACCTGGAATACAGAAGAAGCTTGAGAAAGGTCTGATTAGTTTTGTCTGTTCTATAACTTCACATAAAGTGAATCGTGTAGTATGCACTCATACCTCACTTCTTTTACTCAGCATAATATTTTAATGTTTATCCATGATGTTGCATGTATCAGCAGTTTGTTCCTTTTTATTTATGATAGGTGTTCCACGACACAGATATACCACAATTTGTTTATCCTTTCTTCTGTTGATAGGCACGTAGGTTTTTTCCAGTTTGAGGTTTTAATGAATGAAGCTACTATTAACATTATTGGTCAAAGTCTTTTTGTATATACAGTCAGTCCTTTGTCAGTAGGTTCCTCTGTGTCCATAGGTTCCCCATCTGTGAATTCAAATAACTGTGGACTAAAAATATTTTATAAATTGCATCTGTACTGTACATGGACAGACTTTTTTCTTATTATTCCCTAAACAATACATTATAATGACTATTTACATAGCATTTACATTGCATTAGTTATAAGTAATCTAGAGATTAAAGTATATGAGAAGATGTGAATGGGTTATGTGCAAATACTGTGTCATTTTCTATCAGGGACTTGAGCATCTGCAGATTTTGGCATCCGAGGGAGGTCCTGAAACCAGTCCCCTACAGACACCAAGGGATGACTGTATATGCTTTCATTTTCTTGGGTAAATATCTAAAAGTGGAATTTATGGGTCACAGAGTGGGCGTTTGTTTATGAGAAATTGCCAGATTGTTTAACAAGGTAATTGTACCATTTTACAGTCTCATTAGCAATGTGTGAGAGTTCCTGTTGCTCCATATTCTCAACAATATTTAGCATGGTTAGTCTTTTTAATTTTAGCCACTCAGGTGGTGGTATTTAGTGGCATCTCATTGTTCTTTCAAGTTGAATTCCCCTAATAATTCATTTGCATTTTCCTGGTGAAAAATTATCTTGAATACTTCATGTACCTAGTGGCCATCTATTAATCTTACTTTGTGCATTACCTATGCAAGTCTTTTGTCTATGTTTTAATTTGATACCTGCCTTTTTATTATTGACTTGTACAATGTGTTTATATGAGTACAAATAATTTATCAGATGTATGTATTGTAAATGTTTTCCAAATTATGGCTCTTCTCTTCCGTCTGATGAGCAGAAGCTTTTAACTTTGATGAAATCTTTTTGTCATTCTTTTTTCTTTTATGGTTTTTTTGTTTTATGGCTTACAATTTCATTCGTAAGGTCTTCTGTTTAAGAAATCTTTGCCAATCCTGAGATTATAAAATACTCTTTTATATTTTCCTCTAGAAGCTTTATAGTTTTAGCTTTTAAACTTAGATTGATAATCCATCTCATATTAAATTTTTTGTATGGAAGGAGGTATAGGTTAAGAAACAACTTTTATATGTAGCCTGTTATTCTGGTAGCATTTATTGGAGAGACCTTTACTTCTTAGATTGTTTTGGCAATTTGATTGAAATTAATTATATAAGGGTAGATCTATTGCTGATCTATTCTGTTTCATTGATCTTTTTGTTTATCTTCATTTCAGTAATACATGCTCTTGATTATTGTCACTTTATAATAAGTCTTGAAATTAGGAAATGTATATCTTGTTTTTCAAGAAATAGCATGTAGATGCTTACCAGAACAAAATCCTGCTAGGATTTATATAAAATTTGGAAGAATTGACTTTATAAAAATTGAAGCTTCCAATCCATGATATGATGTCTCCTCATTTATTTAGCTTTTCTTTAGTTACGTTCAGCAATGTGTTGTAGTTTTCAATGTAGAGGTTTTTAACATATTTTATTAAATTTATTCTTAAATATTTGTTATGCTTTTGAGATAATGTTAACTTTTTGTCTCATTTTTAATTATTCATGATAGCATATAGAAATATATCTAATTATTGTATATAGATCATGAATCCAGAAAACTTGCTAAATTCATTTATTAATTCTAATAGCTATTTTTACAATTCCTTAAGATTTTCTAAACATCAAATAATCTGTTACTTATTTTCCAATATAGATGACCTTTTTTGGCTCATCTTCATGTATGTAATGCTAGGTATAGTACAATGTTTTATAGAACTTAGGAGAGAGAAGACACATGTATTTGTTTCTGATCATAAGGGGGGAATCTGAGACTTTTAACTCATTTAAAATTTGCTAATGTATTCTAAGGGTTTTTGCATCTATTTTTTGAAGGATATTGACCTATAATATTATTCTCTTATAATATTGTTGTATATGCTTTAGTATCTCAGTGTTATACTACCCTCACAAAACAAGTTTGTGGAAGATTGATATTATTTCTTCTTTAAATATTTATAAAATTATCTAGACTTAAAATTTTCTTTATGGAAATATTTTAAATTATAACTGTAATAATTTTACTATAGTCCAATTTTCTATTTCTTTTTGTATCAATTTTAGTAATTTACAATTTTCAAAAAATTTGTCTACTTTGTCTCTATTGTTGAATATATTGGCATAAAGTTGTTCATGTTATTCTTCTATTATTTATTATCATATGTTCTTTAATTATTGCTCCTTTATAATTCATATTTGTAATGTGATTTTTCTCTAATTTTTTTGATCATTATAGCTACAGGTTTATTAATTTTATTCACCTTTTCCAAGAAACAACTTTTGTTTTCAGTGAGTTTCTCCATTGTTGTCTATTTCATGTATATTTACTCTTTTTTCCAGCTTTATTAGGGTGTAATAAAATTTGTATATATTTAAGTGTATAATGTGATGGTTTGATAGACATATACATTATGAAATGATTACAACTATCAGAGTAATTAACATATTCATCACTTTGCATAGTTACCTTTTGTGTGTGTGCCTGTGTGTATGTGGTAAGAACATTTAAGATCTACTCCCTTGGCTGGGTACTGTGGCTCATGCCTGTATTCCCAGTACTTTGGGAGGCCAAGGCGGGTGGGATCACTTGAGGCCAGGAGTTTAAGACCAGCTTGGCCAACATGGCGAAACCCTGTTTCTACTAAAAATATCAAAATTAGCTGGATGTGGTGACAAGCACCTGTAGTCCCAGCTACTCAGGAGGCTAAAGCAGGAGAATCACTTGAACTCGGGAGGCAGAGGTTACAGTGAGCCAAGATCGCACTACTGCTCTCCAGCCTGGGTGACAGAGCAAGACTCCGTCTCAAAAAAACAAACAAAATCAAAAAACAAAACCCTACGCCCTTGGCAGATTACAAGTTCAGTATACAATAAAGCACTATTAACTATTGTCATCATTGTGTATATTAACTTTCTAAAATATACGTATGCTACATAACTGAAACTTTGTATTCCTTGACTAACATGATACTTACCCTTGTCTTTATTTACTTCTTATAATTTTTGTGTTTAATTTGAAGTTTTAAAGGGAGAAAGTTTTTATCACTAACATTTCTTTCGTTCTACTATAAGCATTTAGAACTATAAATTCTCGCTCATAAACATTGTTATCTGCAACCCACAAATTTTGATATGTTGTGTTTAATTCTCATTCAATTAAAAGCATTTTCTCATTTTCCTTGTGATTGCGTCTTTGATCCATGAGTTATTTAAAAGTGAATATTTCATTTCCAAATATCTAGAGATTTTCCAGATATCTTTCTAATATTAATCGTCATATTCACTCAGCCTCCATTCAGTTGTAGTTAGATAGCATACTCTGAATTATTTTAATCACTTTAAATCTATTTAAACTCATTTTATGGTTCAGCATATGATCATTTTGGTGAATGTTTCCTGTGAAAATGAAAATAATGTGTATTCTGCAATTGTCAGGTATACTGAATGAGTTTCTAGTGCTAATCAAGTCCTTTATATTCTTACTGTACCACTTACTAAGAGAGATATATTGAAGTCTGAAACTGTAATTCTGAAATCCTCTATTTCTCCTTTTATTTCCCTGTTTAATTTAATGTATTTTGAAACACTGTGATTAGGTCCATACACATTTTGGATTGTTTTGTCTGAAAAAAATCACCATTTTATGATTAATATTCCTCTTTATCTCTGGTAATAATCTTTACACCGAGGGAATGTATAATATGAATATAGCCACTCCAGCTTTCTTATTTTTAGTATTTATATAGTATAACTTCTTTCATCCTTTTAATTTTAAACAATGTATATCTTTGCATTTAATATGCACCTCCTGAATACAGCATATGGTTGGTTTTTACTTCTTTCATCAGTCCTAAATCTCTGCTTTTTTAGGTGAAGTGATTTGTATTTAATATCATTATTTATATGGTGACTTTAATATGCTGGATGTGGTTTTTTTGGTCCTGATTATTACTTTTTCATTATTTCTACCCTTCCTGTATTTCTTTTGTTAAGCATTATTTTAGCAACGTATTTTGTCTTTGTTTTGTTAGTTATAACTTACGGGTTTTTTTAGTGGTTTCTTTAGAGTTTAAAATGTATTTCTTTAATGTATCACATTCTACCTTCAAATAATATTATACCACTTCAGTTACAAGAATTTTACAACGTATGCTTCTATTGTCAACCTTCCATTCTTTCTGTTTTTCTTTTTTTTTTTTTAATTATTCTTTAAGTTCTGGGGTACATGTGCACAAGGTGCAAGTTTGTTACATAGGTATACATGTGCCATGTTGGTTTGCTTATAAGTTTTATTTCTGCACATATTATAAGGATGCACAGTTTATAACCACAAATACATTTTTATTATTTATATTTTATAGTGAAATATCATTTAAATTAATTTCAAAATAAGACACAAATATTTAATTTATTTCCTTTATATAGGTCTTAATTTCCATCTGGTATTATTTACCTTCAACCTGAAGGACCTCCTTTAACATATCATGTAGTGCGGATCTGCCAGTGGCAAATTCTTTTAACTCTTGTTTTCCTGAAAATGTCTTTTGTTAGCTTCCTTCATATTTGAAGAAATTTTCTCTACATAAAATTCTAAGTTACATATTTTTCTCCTTCAGTAATTTAAAGTTATCATTTCATTGTCTTTTGCCTTGTATTTTTTTTGATAAGTAAATAGAAACATTACTGTTCCCCTGAATATAATGTGCTATTTTTGTCTGACTGATTTTAATATTTTCTTTCTATCAACTTTTTAGCAGTTTGATTATAATGTGCTTTGATGTGGTTTTGAGTTCATCCTGCATGCTGTTTCTTGAAATTCACAAATATGTGTTCCATATTTTTTTCAGTTTTGGAATTTTTTTCAACCCTGATATCTAAGATTTTTTTTCTGCCCCAATACCACCCTCTCCATTCCTCCTTTGACTCCAAATTACATACAGATAGGACCAGGTGATAAAGTTTGACAAGTCACTAAAACTCTGTTTATTTAGATTCAGCTTTTCATCTTTTGGCATCAGTTTCCATAGTTTATTTTGCCCCTTTCCACTAATTTACTAATATTTCATTCTGCAGTGAATAATCCGCTGTTAATCCTATCTAGTACTTTTTTTCAGATATTACATTTTTCATCTCTATACTAAATAGGATCATTGAGATTCTTTTCATGTCTTCCATTTCTAGACCCTCTAGACTCAATAGGGCCCTTTTTATATATTTTATTTCTCTGTTGAAATTATTTTTCCTAATCATAGGAATATATATTTACCTTTATACACTTGAATATATTTATAACTATTTTTATAACTATTTTAAAGTCCTTTTCTGATAATTCTACTATACCTATAATTAGATGATCAGTTTCTATTAAATTATTTTTCCCCTGGTTATAGGACATATTTTTCTGCCTCTTCACATCTCTCATATATTTTGGTTGTATTATGGATATAACGGATGCTGCGTTGTTGACTGAACGTTGCTGTATTCCTGAATAAAATACTGAGTTTGTTCCAGCAGGCACTACATTTCCTTGTTGACTACTTGGTTCTTTGAGTCTTATTTTGCGATATATCAGAGTGGTTCTAGAGTAACATTTTCTCTAAAGCTAAACAGTGCTACTTCTGGAGCATGGCCCCTCTAGGTTCTCTGCTGAATTTCTAGGGTATTCAACAAGGTTTTTCCACTCTGAGTGGCTTGAACTTGAATGCCCATCAGCACTGCGAAAGCTCAGATCAGCTCACAGCTCCCTGGCTGTTGTTCATCCTTTAGTAGCTGTTCTTTGCTGGGCTATATGAAATCCCACTCTGCACACGTATAGATTAGTATTTGGCCAATGAATCAAGTGTTCCCCTATGCAAATTTCTGATCCTCCTTTCCCATATAAAGCTGTCCTGCCCAGTACCCCATCACCTCACAAATTCTAATTGCCTTATTACCCCCAAACTATAAACTCTGAATACTCAGTTCATTGGGACCCCTAGGTTCTATTTAGGCTTTTCCTTCCTGCACTGGCATTTGAAGAGCATTTCCACACAGAAATCCACTGCCTTGTATGTGATATAAATGACTTATCTATGGCATGACTACCATATTCTCTGTCATTTTAGATGAAATGTCCAAGGCCAGCCTAATACAACTTGTTGGCTTTTTCCTGTGCTTATGTAAAAGCTCTAGCCAGATGCTCATCATCACATTTTGTCTTTTAAGCACTTTATATGGTAGAAAGCCCGTTTTAGCTTTTTTACATTTGGAATTCTCACTATAGTGTTCAGACTGCAGTTGGCTTTAGGATAAGGAGATGCGCTAGAAACAAGCCTTCTGGTAGGTAATTAATCACTTATAATCAGCATTTATGGCCATTCACAGAAGATGAGAGAGTCAAGTGGAGAAAGAAGTGACTTCACCATCTTTTCAGGGTTATTACAAATTCTGCTAAGGTTACACTCATTAAAATTGCTATTAACTTTCCTTCCCCCGTCAGGATAGTTAATTAATTCTTCTTTATATTTTAAGATTATAGCAATTAAGGGGAAAAAAATAAGAGTTAACATGTCCATACTTGGGGCAACCTGATTTCTTTAGGAAATTGTTAAAAGAGCCTGAAAGAAAAAGGTCATATGAAAATGTAATAAGTTATTCTAAGCCCCCAGCTTAAAAGGCAAAAATCAGCAGTCAGTGGATATTTTAGACCCACCTCACCAATCTGGCCTCAATTCCTCATCTGTTTTGTTTTCCTGAATAGTGTTTTTCACTTTGATGTAGAAGGCCCAGGTTTTATGAAACCCATTTTATGCAACTCCAAGTAAACTCTTTAAGGAAATAAATACAAAATTACAAATACAAAATCACTAAGAACTTCCCAGGACCCAGCAAGGGGCCAGTGAAAGTGGTAAATCTGCTCTTGTTGATATTGCTCTCCAGCAAATTGCATTTTTAAATCTTCTACAATGTATGCAATGACATTTTGTACCTGTTTTATCTTTAGTCATTTTATATTTTCTGTGATTAGTTCATTCTTTATCTTCCCCATATCTTTTCTATAATATCTATTTAATCTGAGTGAATGCCTAATCTTTGAGAATAAAATTGCTAATATTTTTAAAGCAATGTGCTGGGCAATCTTCTAAGTTCTTTATGTGTATGAAGTCATTTAATGTTGCAAATATTTTGTAAAGTAGATACCATACTATATTTTCTATGTTTTACAGCTAGGAACACTGACACATAAAGAGGCTCACAACTAGTCAAAATGGCAGAGTCTGTCTGTGAACGAGAACCAGGCTCCAGAACATGGGCTGTTAAACATGATGCTCTTCTGCTTCTCTTTGATTTATGGATGTTGAGTGTTGGGAGGATACACATGATTTTGAGCAGTTATCTTAAGTGTGTGGGGCTAAAAACACCTGGTCAAATGCTAGTATTGGTTGATACTGAAATTAAGAGCCCATGTAGTCAAGAATGAGACGCCAGAGGACAAAAGTGAATATTTTACTTATTTCCCCATCACCATCCTACTGCTATTATCAGATATGTGTTGGTATGGCGATGGGAAGATGCTGAACTCAAATGAACAGCAAAAGATCTTGCAGTGAAAGATTGCTTTGAACATGTCATTGTGAATGTTTACTTTGTTGAACTTCATTTGAGATGTCCCATAGTCTACATCCAGGACACAGCAAACATCACTTAGGACCCCCCATGTCAAAAACTTTCCTTAGATTGAGCAAAATGATATCTGTCTTTACAACATTATCCTGGTGATTCTAATAAAGCCAGAACTACTGAGGAGGGTGAAAAAAAATATGCGGTATCAATAAAACAAACAGGCCAGCCGCGGTGGCTCATGCTTGTAATCCCAGCACTTTGGGAGGCCGAGGCAGGTAGATCAACTGAGGTCAGGATTTCGAGACCAGCCTGGCCAACATGGCGAAACCCCATCTCTACTAAAAATACAAAAATGAACCAGGAGTGGTGGTGCACACCTGTAGTCCCAGCTACTCAGGAGGCTGAGGCAGGAGACTCACCTGAACCCAGGAGGCAGAGGTTGCAGTGAGTGGAGATTGCACCACTGTACTCCAGCCTGGGTGACAGAACAAGACTCCATCTCAAAAAAAATTAAATAATTTAAAAAATAAAATACAATAAAACAAACAGCTGCGGATTATCAGAACCCTGTTTAATTTACTTAGTCAAGAAATACTAACTGCAATTATATGAAGGATACTATATATAAAAATAAATACCTAGATATAATTCTGAAGCTTCTGATGCAATGCATCTGAAATGAGCCCAAACATTTATATTTTTAAAATTATTCATTGTGACTTTGATGTCTAGCCAGGGTGGAGAGCTGCCTTAGATGAAGGAGAGAAGTGCTGTGGCATAGACAGTAGACGGTTATGGGAGCACAGAGAGGAATGCCCAATCTAGCATGTGGGGTGGTGAGAAGCAGATGACTTTTTTGGTAGACATTGAATTAAAGCTGAGACTTCAAGGATGAAGAGGGTTAAGTAGCTAAGATGAAACACAGTAAAAAAAAATATATAGCATATTTTAAAACCCTCAGGCCTACATAAGAATACCTGGCAGAGGATAATCAGGAATGGAGCTTTTATTCACTGTGAGGCATGGGGAGGGTTTCTGGTGACTAAAGGAGGTCTCCTATGGGAAAGTTCAGCAGAAGGGGTCCCAAACTCATGTCTGAACCCTCTTATACCTTTGGGCAACAAAAAACTCAGTGGCTTCTAATTATTTTAACCGGAAAAATGAGTAAGTTATATCTAATCTGCTCCTGGGGAACTTCTCCCTTGGGCTACCCACCTATAGCATGCTACATCCCTCAGAAAAACAAAGGCTTCCCAATTGTTGTGTTTCATGGAGTTGTTAATGGAAACTCACCTACTTTCTTCAGAAGAGACTAGCAACAAACCATGAAAACAAAAAAAAGCCTATGTTTCTCACTCAACACAAACTTGTTTTAAATAATTTATATCAACTCAAGCTGTTTCCTCATTTACTTAGTTCACATTCCTTGTATCATACTCATGTCTGTGTGGAAAGTCATTTTGTGGGCAGAAAAATTCATTTTAAAAATAAATTTTAATTATACAAATAATATATGAATATATTCTTTGGATGAATGATTAAAACATTACACATAAATTTTCTTTAACTTCTATGCCCATCTTGATTCCTTCCTCAGATGTAACCACCATTATCAATTTATTGTGAGTCTTTCCAGATTCTTTTTATATGAATTTATAGAAACCATATATCATTAATTTATGGGTTTTTAAATGTATATAAATATACATAAATAACCTTATCCTGGATTTCTGCCTTTTTCACACAACAATTTTTTCTAGGAGATTAAGCAGTACCTTGTGTAAAATAGAAGTCTGATAAATAAATAAATAATGAATGAATAATTTCAAACATGAATGATTTCAGACCCCTCAGTGGAACAGACCTAAATTTGAATCTTAGCTCTGCAACTTACTAATAATTTGACTTTGGTCGAATCACAACTTCTTTTAGGCCATTTCTTTATTTTTGAAATGGAGATGATACTACTTATCTCACAGGATTACTGTAGTAAAATATCTAGAATAGTATCTGTCCTAGAAAAAAATAATGTTGACTCTATCTTCACCTTATATTCATTCACTCTTAATGCTTGGTACAGCACTCCTCTCCTTCTAATCCAATGGGTGGTTGATGGTTGATATGGTTTGGCTCTGTGTCCCCACCAAAATCTCATTTCAAATCAGAATCCAAACTATAATCCCCGCATGTGGAGGGAGGGACCTGGTGGGAGGTGATGGGATCATCTGGGTGGTTTTCCCCATGCCGTTCTCATGATAGTGAGAGCATTCTCATGAGAGCTGATGGTTTTAAAGTGTGACACTTCCTTGCTTCTCTCCTCTACTGCCGCCTTGTGAAGAAGATACCTGTCTCCCCTTCACCTTCCGCCATGATTGTAAGGTTCCTGAGGCCTCCCCAGACATGTGGAACTGTGGGTCGATTAAACCTCTTTCCTTTACAAATTACCCAGTCCCAGGTAATATCTTTATAGCAGTGTGAAAATGGACCAATACAACGGCTACAAGCAAAATCTTCCAAATACCTCCTGGAAATGTCCACCTGGATGTCCCCATCGGTGTGTCCAAAATCATAATATCCCATCTCAAACCAGCTTCTTTTCCTAAGAAACCTACATCTGCTTGCTAGGTAGCATGGCTTCATCTTTGTACCTTGATGGTTTATTCCACATCCTGACATGTTCCATCCGCTTCTACAGTTCAGATCCTCATTGTAGCTTTCCTGGATCAGAGTCCTTACCTTGTAATTAACCTATCAGTCTTTAGCACCTTATACACTAGCTCCCAGTTCCTCATTAGCCCTAATTACCAGTAACCCTTTCTGTCATCCAAGATAAGAGTCAGCATCTTGAATTTGGCATTTGGAGCTTTTTACAGTCTGACCCCAGTTGGTGTTTCCAAATGTATTTCACATTTCTCATATACCAATAGCTCCAACAAAATCAGCTGCTCTCTGTGGACTGTTTCCATGCATTTTCGAATCTCTGTGTCTTTGTTTATGTTGCTCTGAATGTATCAAATATCCTTTCTCCCATCCTCATCTCTGCACATTGAGTGCAGAGACACTTGTGCAGAGACCCAAGACAAAATATAATATGGTGAATTTAAACACAATATTTGGAGCCAAACACACATGAGTTTAAACCCTAACTCTGTCCCTAATTATGTATATAATATATTTTTAATTTATCTTTTCTTCACTTAAACAGGAAAAATAATAGAAACTACTTCATAGGATTCTAAGAACAAATTAAGATAACATATGAAGGAGCTGAGGAAATGTTGGGCAAAGAACACTAAATTTCAGTTAGACAGGAAGACTAAGTGCAAGGTATCTATTTTACAAAATGGTGACTATAGTTAATAAAAATGTAATGCATTCTTGAAAATTACTAAGAGTAGATTTCAAGTGTTCTCACCACAAAAAATAATGATATGTATGTGAGGTAACGTATGTGGTAGCTAGCTTGATTTAGTCACTCCACATGTATACATATTTCAAAACATGTTATACACAATAAATATATACAGTTTTTATTTGTCAATTAAGATAAATAAATAAAAATAATCATAGGCATATCTTTACTCCTTCATATTGCCTTGGAGCCTTCCTATGAACAAAGCTAGGCACATTAGTCCCCACACAAATCACCAACACAGCTAGTGCAAAGCCCCATTAAGGATACAAAGATGGACTGCTGAGAGAGATGGATCCCCCCAATCCCCATGCAGGAGGGTTTGCGTAAGACGAAAGAGAAAGAGAGAGAGGGAAAAAGAGAGGGAGGGGAGAGAGAGAAAGAGAGAGCGTGCATATATAAAGTTAGACAGAAAACCGGTGCTAGGTAATTAACTGTCACTATCAAAGCTATTTAATGTCTACTTCAAATACTATTCCTTCCATGAGGTCCTCCCTAATCCTACAAGATATAAGTTATTTCTGAACAGCAGCACCATTTCAATTGTGCCCCCTTTAAGGTATTTATAACTTTATACATTACTGAGTAATTACATTTTCATCAAGCATAATTTTTGAACCCAAAACTGCAATGGGTTTTCCAAAGGATTTTTGAGTCTGTATCAATTATATAAGAAAGTATCAGAGAAGTAGTTTAGATGTGATAAATACATGTTTCTAAAATATCTTGATTTTTTTAAGAAATATGGTACAGATCAGTTGAAATCAGAACTCTTTTAAAACCTCAAACCACAAGGTCACTGCACACATATGAACTGTAACCTCCTTGGGGATAGTGTCCAGCTTTCCTTTTGAGCTCACCTGTGATGCTCAACATAGGACATTCACAAAACTTTTATGAATGAAGCCCTATTCTTAAGAAAGGAATGAAGTAAATAGTAACACCCATCGCTAGATTTTAAATCAGATGTTCTTTCCTATGCTAATTGTGTCTCTTCAAGTCCCCTATTTAATTGGTCAGAAAATAATGTTACATAGATAATGTTCACAAATGAGGAAGATACAGAGGTTTATGATACTGTGAGTTGGAGAAGAAATTTATTTTCACAAAGCTTCTCTGATGATATATCTATGTAAGCTTCAGGGTCCCAATGACCCTTTAAATTATTGATGATTGCACATACAACTCCAAATCTGATAACTATGTGTAGCAGTATTTTAAAGGAATGATTGACAAGGCCTTTTATCATCAAAATAATCAAATAATCTTTATTTGACTAGGTAAGATTTAACTTTTTGTATGCTAAGGGTTTTTTTTAAGAAAATTAGGCAAAAACTGTAACAGAATTTTAAATGTTACTTTGGCTCTCTTTACTCTCCTTCCTGTGTTTTCATGATCACTCAATGGAAAGCAATATTCAACACGGTCTGTTGCAGATAAATATATTCTGCGTCATATCGTTTCATGAAATTTGGAGCCATAAAGAAAGCCTGTCTCCTGGAACAGAGAACAGAAAGCAGTAAGATTATTTGTGTGATGGTCAAAATAGTCCTGAAAATTTGTTCCATGAGCTTATTAGAGGTAAAAATTATTAGTAGTTAATAGTAACAGTAAATCACATATAAGATACATAACATGTAATATATAATTTATATATATAATCTATATGTACCTGTATGATTTCAGTATGCTCACCTATACTACTGTATGAGTGAGCTCTGTATTTATTACTCATATTAGTTAATTTATATTATATAATTCAATATGAAAGTATGTAAGCCAAAGCCTATAAGCTACTATATGTTTTTCTTTTCTGTTTTTTTTTGAGATGGAGTTTTGCTCTTGTTGCCTAGGCTGGAGTGCAATAGCGCAATCTTGGCTCATTGCAACCTCTGCCTCCCGGGTTCAAGCGATTCTCCTGCCTCAGCCTCCCAAGTAGCTGGGATTACAGTAATGTGCTACCACACCCAGCTAATTTTGTATAATATATATATAGTTTATATTATATTATATATATATATATATATATATATTTTAGAAGAGACAGGGTTTCTCCATGTTGGTCAGGCTAGTCTCAAACTCCCAGCCTCAGGTGATCCACCTGCCTCCCAAAGTGCTGGGATTACAGGCTTGAGCCACTGCACCTGGCCTACTACTGTATGGTTTTCTAAATAAATGCCTTAAAATAGAAATCCTGGGAAAAGGGATTTCCACCTTTAAGACAGAACTAGATTTCAACAAAATCTTCAGAGGTTAATAAAGAACTGTTAGTAATTACCCTTATTTTGTCAAGCCCCACCTTCTATGAGGGTAGGAAGCTTGGCAGAAACAACAAATCGGGTATTAAAAACAAAAAGATTCTGCTGATTAAACCAAACAAAAACAATCACGCTGGGACGGGTAGTGCCTAAGGGCTGATCACTCCCATCTGTTTTTGATCCTCAGAAGACAGTGAACACAGTAGAGGATAAAACCAGTTAGGACTCCTTCTGAAACTCATATTTTTTAAAAATAACAATAATTCCAGAAAGTTTTCTTTACTAGGAGAGTTAGAAATGAGAAAAGAAAACCCAAAGGGGTATTTAATTCCAGGAATGACTGAGCTATAGATAAGCTCAAGAGCTAAATACCTACATTATGACTAAAGAAAAAAATCACAGATCGATATTTAGAGCAGAAAATGCATATATTAAGTGTTGATAAAATGGAAAATTGGTGCGAAAAGTGCCAAATTGTGCTTAAGTTGTTATATTTCCATGAATATTGCTCTAAATTGTATATAAATATTTCATATGTCAGAGATTAGTTCATTGTTATGCTTCTTTAAAGATAATTGAATTTGCATAGGAAAAGCATTTTTTTTAGTTAGAAAGAACTTGAAAATTACCTAGTTTAACCCTCTCATTTTACAAATGAGAAAATGGATTTTTTTTTCATTTTAAAAATATGCAGATTTTTCTGGCATATTTGAATGTCTTATCAAAGGTCACCCTGCTAGAGATAGGGAGGGGCTGAACTCCAAGTTTAGGTAGCACAATATTCACCATCAAGTGGTTTTATATATAGACTTAGAGCCTCGAGGTTTGAATCCTATCTGTACCAGTCATTAGCTATATGATCTTGGGGAAGGCCTCAGTTTCCCCATATAAGAACAATAATTGGGTTTACCTGATAACGTTAATCTTCATAAAAGTGACATGTATACTCCACAGAAAGATACTTATCATAATGCCTCGTATATAATAAGTATCCAATGAATGTTACTATCATTAAATATTATTTTGTGTTGAAATACAAAACTCCATCAAACCTAAATAGGATGCTCACCATCCAGGTCAGTGTTTCCTAACACAACTTCATATAAGAATATCCCAAAGAGCTTTTTAGAAGCACGGACTCCTTGACCTTGTCCCATTTATAACTTATCAAAAACTCAGGGAAGCATCTTGGGATAATGGATATTTTTAGTAAGTTCTCCCAAAGGATTCTGATATAGTGCAGTTGGTATTAAACACACAAATAAGCATTTGGGAACCACTGGCATGACTACAGAGATGTGATCCAAGATCATCTTTCTCTCCAAAGAGATATTCAAATAGATGCCCAAATGAAAAGCCTAGTGGCTTAGAAAGACTAGAAAGAAATAATAAAGTCATACAAAATAACCCCTTAGACCAAATGAAGCAGTAAATGTCATAGCTGTCATCAAAACAGCATAGAGAAGTATCCAGAAATTCTTACTGTTAAACTTTGTTCCTACAAACATCACTATTGTTTTATAGCTCTAGATTTAGCCCCCTAAAGTTCTGCCAGCAACAAGGAGACATTCCCTCCAGAGTCTTGGGATGGAACCTAGTATAAACCATTATTTGGTTCTTGTTCTGATCATAGATAACACTCTCCCTAGAAATAAAAAAGACAATCTGAAGCAAAACAGGGAATCCTATCTCTTGCAGTTCTCAAACAGCTCAGAGCCCTAAGTTAGTAATTAACAGTTTCAAAAAGACAGGGGCAATGCAAACAATCTTTCTGAGCTCTAGCTAAGTAGAAACCCTGTTCATGAAGAACTGAACGTGAAAGATATATTGACAGCAGAGACGTAGATCTCTGTAATTAACATAAAGAAAAATAATGAGTACCCTGGGCAATGATGAGGCTCAAAAATGGAGAAGGTGTGGCTAGAAGACCGTGATCAGACATGCCCAAAAATATTACCTTACCACCCGCCCTAAAGATCCACCAAAAATCTGATAAGGACACAGTGGTAGCTAACCATAACTTCGTAACAAGAAACATATGGCTATGATGTTAACTTTCAGCAAATTTTATGTAGTCTACTGTGATGAATTAGTCACAGGTTTCCTAATGATATTTTTGTGGTTTTTATTAAGGTCTGCTTCAAAAGAAATGCAGTAGTTATTGTCAGGGAATGAACCTGAATTAGGAGGGCCCAAATGCTATCCCCAGTCACTACACTGATATGACAAATGGGTTGATGAGGAAAAGAGCACCTGGGGGTGCTCCTTATTAAGTTGTTCCTGACTTAATAAATATGTCCTCATATGACACCTTGGCCCAACCTCTTTCAGCCTCTTATTTGATCATAAAAAAGACTTATAAACAAAATTCATATGTTGCATCAAGATTATTCTGACCCATTTGTCAAATATATGGAGGTGTGATGGAAGAGAATTCTATGGCTATGCTACTGATATAGACAGGAAACAGGGAATTACTGGGTAGAAGAGGGCAGCTCTACAGCAAAACACCCACCCCCAAGCCTGGAAACCCAGGACCCTAAATGAGAACAGGCGTTCTTGTTTTCCATTTGTTGCCAAATGTTGCCTTTTGACCCTCCACATCCCCCATTCTGTACCCATATAAACCCCAAACCCCAGGCACCATGAGCAGACAAGCAGATGAGCAGACAGGAGGACAAACAGAATAGCAGAAGAACAGCAGAATATTCTTCGCAGCAGAGAGAAGAGAAGGAGCGTCTGTAGGCAGAGAAGAGATAGGCTGCTGGATGGACAAACCCCAGGGGAAAGTCATCTTTCCACTCCATCCCCCTTCCGGCTCTGGTGGGACAACGAAACAGCACTGAAGGAAATGACAAGAAACCTAGAATCTCCTTTTTTTTTTTTTTTTTGAGATGGAGCCTTGCTCTGTCGCCCAGGCTGGAGTATAATGGTGCAATCTCCGCTCACTGAAAGCTCCGCCTCCCGGGTTCACGCCATTCTCTTGCCTCAGCCTCCAGAGTGGCTGGAACTACAGGTGCCCACCACCATGCCCAGCTAATTATTTTGAATTTTTAGTAGAGATGGAGTTTCACCGTGTAGCCAGGATGGTCTCGATCTCCTGAGCTCATGATCCGCCCGCCTCGGCCTCCCAAAGTGCTGGAATTACAGGTGTGAGCCACCGTGCCTGGCCCCCTAGTGAAAGGTGACAGCGTGCTGGCAGTCCTCACAGCCCTCACTCGATCTCAGCGCCTCCTCTGCCTGGGCTTCCACTTTGGTGGCACTTGAGGAGCCCTTCAGCCCACTGCTGTACTGTGGGAGCCCCTTTCTGGGCTGGCCAAGGCCGGAGCCAGCTCCCTCAGCTTGCAGGGAGGTGGGAGAGAGAGGCGCCAACAAGAACCGGGGCTGCGTGGGCCGCTTGCGGGCCAGCTGGAGTTGCGGGTGGGCGTGGGCTTGGCGGGCCCTGCACTCGGAGCACCCGGCCTGCCCTGCCCGCCTGGGTAGTGAGGGGCTTAGCACCCGGGCCAGTGGCTGCGGAGGGTGTACTGGGTCCCCCAGTAGTGCCAGCCCACCTGTGCTGTGTTCCATTTCTCACCGGGCCTTAGCTGCCTTCCCACCGGGCTTAGGACCTGCAGCCCGCCATGCCTGAGCCTCCCACCCCTTCCATGGGCTCCAGCGTGGCCCAAGCCTCCCCGATGAGCCCCGCCCCCTGCTCCATGGCACCCAGTCCCATCCACCACCCAAGGGCTGAGTAGTGCGGGCGCATGGTGCGAGACTGGCAGGCAGCTCCACCTGCAGCCCTGGTGCAGGATCCACTGGGTGAAGCCAGCTGGGCTCCTGAGTCTGGTGGGGACATGGAGAACCTTTATGTCTAGCCCAGGGATTGTAAATACACCAATCAGCACTCGGTATCTAGCTCAGGGTTTGTGAATACACCAATGGACACTCTGTATCTAGCTACCCTGGTGGGGCCTTGGAGAACCTTTATGTCTAGCTCAGGGATTGTAAACACACCAATCAGCACCCTGTGTCTAGCTCATGGTTTGTGAGTGCACCAATCAACACTGTATCTAGCTGCTCTGGTGGGGCTTTGGAGAACCTTTATGTCTAACTCAGGGATTGTAAATACACCAATCGGCACTCTGTATCTAGCTCAAGGTTTGTAAACACACCAATCAGCACCCTGTGTCTAGCTCAGGGTTTCTGAGTGCACCAATCGACACTCTGTATCTAGTTACTCTGGTGGGGCCTTGGAGAACCTTTGTGTGGACACTCTGTATCTAGCTAATCTAAGTGGGGACATGGAGAACCTTTGTGTCTAGCTCAGGGATTGTAAATGCATCAATCAGCGCCCTGTCGAAACAGACCACTGGGCTGTACCAATCAGCAGGAAGTGGGTGGGGCCAGAGAAGAGAATAAAAGCAGGCTGCCTGAGCCAACAGTGGCAACCCACTCAGTCCCCTTCCACACTGTGGAAGCTTTGTTCTTTCACTCTTTGCAATAAATCTTGCTACTGCTCACTCTTTGGGTCCACGCTGCTTTTATGAGCTGTAACACTCACCGCAAAGGTCTGCAGCTTCACTCCTGAAGCCAGCGAGACCACGAGCCCACCAGAAGGAATGAACAACTCCAGAAGCGCTGCCTTAAGAGCTGTAACACTCACCTCAAAGGTCTGCAGCTTCACTCCTGAGCCAGCGAGACCACGAACCCACCAGAAGGAAGAAACTCCAAACACATCCGAACATCAGAAGGAACAAACTCCAGACACGCCACTTTAAGAGCTGTAACACTCACCGCGAGGGTCCACGGCTTCATTCTTGAAGTCAGTGAGACCAAGAACCCACCAATTCCGGACACATTTTGGCAACCACGAAGGGACTTTTGCCTATCACCAAGCAGTGAGACAATTGCCGAGCGGTGAGACCATCGCCTATCGCCAAGCAGTGAGTACCATCGGACCCCTTTCGCTTGCTATTCTGTCCTATCTTTCCTTAGAATTCGGGGGCTAAATACCGGGCACCTGTCAGCCAGTTAAAAGTGACTAGTGCGGCCGCTGGACTAAAGACACGGGTGTCAGGCTTTCTGGGAAAGGGCTCTCTAACAACCCCTGACTCTTCGGAGATGGGACCGTTGGTTTGCCTAGAACCAGCTTCTGCTTTTCCTGTACTTCTGGGCTGAGCCGAGGGTCGACAGAGAGGAAAGCCATGCAGCTCCAGGGTCCCAACAACAAGTTGGTTGACCCTGCGGCCATGAGCGCAACTCTCAAAAGCATGTCTCCCAGGCGAGACTCACCCATCTATCCTATCTATCCTGACCCTTGCCTCCTGGGTCCTAATGCCTGCCAGACAAATTTCCTCTCGCCTCTCTTCTCTGAGGTTAGACCTGCTTCTAAAAATTGCTACCTGTCTCTGGTGCTTTTCTAGTTTCTCCTATAAGAATGATTTCTAGTATAAACTCCAGGACTCTGTTACCTTCTTTAGGCACCCAGGCTCACCAATCAGAAAGACATAATTTTTGTCCAAAGCCCCATCATAGTGGGGACTACCTGGAATTTTAGGATCCCTCCTCAGACTAATAGGCCTAACAAAAGCTATTCCTGAAGCTAGGATATGGGGAGCCTCAGAAATTGTATCCTTCCTATTCATGTAAGTGAGGACAAAAGGTGTCACTCTTCCAGCCCTGGAGATCCCTTCCCTCCCTCAGGGTGTGGCCCTCCACTTCACTTTTGGGGCATAACATCTTTATAGGACAGGGCTAAAGTCCCAATACTAACAGGAGAATGCTTAGGACTCTAACAGGTTTTTGAGAATGCGTCGGTAAGGGCCACTAAATCCAATTTTTCTCGGTCGGTCATCCTTGTGGTCCAGGAGGACAGGCAGGGGTGCAGGTTTTTGAGAATGCGTTGGTAAGGACCACTAAATCTGACCTTCCTTGGTCCTCCATGTGGTCTGGGAGGAAAACAAGTGTTTCTGCTGCTGTGTTGGTGAGCGCAACTATTCTGATCAGCAGGGTCCAGGGACTGTTGCGAGTTCTTGGGCAGGGGTTGTTTCTGCTGCTGCATCGGTGAGCACAACTATTCTGATCAGCAGGGTCCAGGGACCGTTGCGGGTTCTTGGGCAGGGGAAGAAACAAAACAAACAAAAACCACGGGCGGTTTTGTCTTTCAGATGGGAAACACTCAGGCATCAACAGGCTCACCCTTGAAATGCATCCTAAGCCATTGGGACCAATTTGACCCACGAACCCTGAAAAAGAGGTGGCTCATTTTTTTCTGCACTATGGCTTGCCCCAATATTCTCTCTCTGATGGGAAAAAATGGCCACCTGAGGGAAGTACAAATTACAATACTATCCTGCAGCTTGACTTTTCTGTAAGAGGGAAGGCAAATGGAGTGAAATACCTTATGTCCAAGCTTTCTTTTCATTGAGGGAGAATACACAACTATGCAAAGCTTACAATTTACATCCCACAGGAGGACCTCTCAGCTTACCCCCATATCCTAGCCTCCCTATAGCTCCCCTTCCTATTAATGGTAATCCTCCTCTAATCTCCCCTGCCCAGAAGGAAATAAGCAAAGAAATCACCAAAGGACCACAAAACCCCCGGGCTATCAGTTATGTCCCCTTCAAGCTGTAGGGGGAGGGGAATTTGGCCCAACCCGGGTACATGTCCCCTTGTCCCTCTCTGATTTAAAACAGATCAAGGCAGACCTGGGGAAGTTTTCAGATGATCCTGATAGGTACACAGATGTCCTACAGGGTCTAGGGCAAACCTTTGACCTCGCTTGGAGAGATGTCATGCTACTGTTAGATCAAACCCTGGCCTTTAATGAAAAGAATGCAGCTTTAGCTGCAGCCCAAGAGTTCAGAGATAACTGGTATCTTAGTCAAGTAAATGATAGAATGACAGCCGAAGAAAGGGACAAATTCCCTACTGGTCAGCAAGCCATCCCCAGTATGGATCCCCACTGGGACCTTGACTCAGATCATGGGGACTGGAGTCATAAACATCTGTTGACCTGTGTTCTAGAAGGACTAAGGAGAATTAGAAAAAAGCCCATGAATTATTCAATGATGTCCACCATAACTCAGGGAAAGGAAGAAAATCCTGCCTTCCTCGAGCGGCTATGAGAGGCCTTAAGAAAATATACTCCCCTGTCACCCGAATCACTTGAGGGTCAATTGATTCTAAAAGATAAGTTTATTACCCAATCAGCTGCAGATATCAGGAGAAAGCTCCAAAAGCAAGCCCTGGGCCCTGAACAAAATCTAGAGGCATTATTAAACCTGGCAACCTCGGTGTTCTATAATAGGGACCAAGAGGAACAGGCCCAAAAGGAAAAGCGAGATCAGAGAAAGGCCACAGCCTTAGTCATGGCCCTCAGACAAACAAACCTTGGTGGTTCAGAGAGGACAGAAAATGGAGCAGGCCAATCACCTGGTAGGGCTTGTTATCAGTGTGGTTTACTAGGACACTTTAAAAAAGATTGTCCAATGAGAAACAAGCTACCCCCTCGTCCATGTCCACTATGCTGAGGCAATCACTGGAAGGTGCACTGCCCCAGATGATGAAGGTTCCCTGTGTCAGAAGCCTCCAACCAGATGATCCAACAACAGGACTGAGGGTGCCCGGGGCAAGTGCCAGCTCATGTCATCACCCTCACTGAGCCCCAGGTATGTTTAACTACTGAGGGCCAGGAAATTGACTTCCTCCTGGACACTGGCATGGCCTTCTCAGTGTTAATCTCCTGTCCTGGATGACTGTCCTCAAGGTCCATTACCATCCGAGGAATCCTGGGACAGCCTGTAACCAGGTATTTCTCCCACCTCCTCAGTTGTAATTGGGAGACTTTGCTCTTTTCACATGCCTTTTTTGTTATGCCTGAAAGTCCCCCACCCTTATTAGGGAGGGATATATTAGCCAAGGCTGGAGCTATTATCTACATGAATATAGGGAACAAGTTACCCATTTGTTGTCCCCTACTTGAGGAGGGAATCAACCCTGAAGTCTGGGCATTGGAAGGACAATTTGGAAGGGCAAAAAATGCTCACCCAGTCCAAATCAGGTTAAAAGATCCCACCACTTTTTCTTACCAAAGGCAATATCCCTTAAGGCCTGAAGCTCATAAAGGATTACAGAATATTGTTAAACATTTGAAAGCTCAAGGCTTAGTAAGGAAATGCAGTAGTCCCTGCAACATCCCAATTTTGGGAGTACAAAAACCCAACAGTCAGTGGAGACTACTTCAAGACCTTAGACTCATTAATGAGGCAGTAATTCCACTATATCCAGTTGTATCCAACCCCTATACCCTGCTCTCTCAAATACCAGAGGAAGCAGAATGGTTCATGGTTCTGGACCTCAGGATGCCTTCTTCTGTATTCCCCTGCACTCTGATTCCCAGTTCCTCTTTGCCTTTGAGGATCCCACAGACCACATGTCCCAACTTACATGGATGGTCTTGCCCCAAGGGTTTAGGGATAGCCCTCATCTCTTTGGTCAGGCCCTAGCCCAAGATCTAGGCCATTTCTCAAGTCCAGGCACTCTGGTCCTTCAATATGTGGACGATTTACTTTTGGCTACCAGTTTGGAAGCCTTGTGCCAGCAGGCTACTCTAGACCTCTTGAAATTTCTAGCTAATCAAGGGTACAAGGTGTCTAGGTCAAAGGCCCAGTTTTGCCTACAGCAGGTTAAATATCTAGGCCTTATCTTAGCCAAAGAGACCAGGGCCCTGAGCAAGGAATGAATACAACCTATACTGGCTTATCCTCACCCTAAGACATTAAAACAGTTGCGGGGGTTCCTTGGAATTACCGGCTTTTGCTGACTATGGATCCCCGGATACAGTGAGATAGGCAGGATCCTCTATACTCCAATCAAGGAAACCCAGAGAGCAAATACTTATCTAGTTGAATGGGAACCAGAGGCAGAAACAGCCTTCAAAACCTTAAAGCAGTCTCTAGTACAAGCTCCAGCTTTAAGCCTTCCCACAGGACAGAACTTCTTTTTATATGTCACAGAGAGAGCCAGGATAGCTCTTGGAGTCCTTACTCAGACCCGTGGGACAACCCCACAACCAGTGGCATACCTAAGTAAGGAAATTGATGTAGTAGCAAAAGGCTGGCCTCACTGTTTAAGGGTAGTTGCAGCAGTGGCCATCTTTGTGTCTGAGGCTATCAAAATAATACAAGGAAAGGATCTCACTGTCTGGACTACTCATGATGTAAATGGCATACTAGGTGCCAAAGGAAGTTTATGGCTATCAGACAACCGCCTACTTAGATACCAGGCACTACTCCTTGAGGGACCAGTGCTTCAAATACGCACGTGCATGGCCCTCAACCCTGCCACTTTTCTCCCAGAGGATGGGGAACCAATCGAGCATGACTGCCAACAAATTATAGTCCAGACTTATGCCACCCGAGATGATCTCTTAGAAGTCCCCTTAACTAATCCTGACCTTAACCTATATACCAATGGAAGTTTAGTTGTGGAGAATGGGATACGAAGGGCAGGTTACACCATAGTTAGTGATGTAACCATACTTGAAAGCAAACCTCTTCCCCCAGGGGCCAGTGCCCAGTTAGCAGAACTAGTGGCACTTACCCGAGCCTTAGAACTGGGAAAGGGAAAAAGAATAAATGTGTATACAGATAGCAAGTATGCTTATCTAATCCTACATGCCCATGATGCAATATGGAAAGAGAGGGAGTACCTAACCTCTGGGGGAACCCCCATTAAATACCACAAGGAAATCATAGAGTTATTGCACACAATGCAAAAACGCAAAGAGGTGGGAATCTTACACTGACAAAGCCATCAAAATGGGAAGGAGAGGGGAGAACAGCAGCATAAGCAGCTTGCAGAGGCAGCAGAAAGGAAAGAAAGAGACAGAAGTCAGAGAGAAAGAGGGACAGACACAGAAAGTCAAAGAGAGATGGAAGTAGTAAAGAAAAAAATAGTGTACCCTATTCCTTTAAAAGCCAGGGTAAATTTCTATCTACCCAGCCAAGGCATATTCTACTTATGTGGATCTTCAACCCATATCTGCCTCTCAAACAGTTTGCAAGAAATAACTAAATCTGTCCTTACATTACAATCCCAAATAGACTCTTTGGCAGCAGCGATTCTCCAAAACCACTGAGGCCTAGACCTCCTCACTGCTGAGAAAGGAGGATTCTGCACCTTCTTAGGGGAAGAATGTTGTTTTCATACTAACCAGTCGGGGATAGTAGGAGATGCTGCCCAGTGTTTACAGGAAAAGGCTTCTGAAATCAGACAACGCCTTTCAAATTCTTATACCAATCTCTGGAGTTGGGCAACATGGCTTCTCCCCTTTCTAGGTCCCATGGCAGCCATCTTGCTGTTACTCACCTTTGGGCCCTGTATTTTTAACCTTCTTGTCAAATTTGTTTCCTCTAGAATCCAGGCCATTAAGCTACAGATGGTCTTACAAATGGAACCCCAAATGAGTTCAACTAACAACTTCTACCGAGGACCCTTGGACCGACCCGCTGGCACTTCCCCTGGCCTAGAGAGTTCCCCTCTGAAGGACACTACAACTGCAGGGCCCCTTCTTTGCCCCTATCCAGCAGGAAGTAGCTAGAGCGGTCAACGACCAAATTCCCAACAGCTGTTAGGGTGTCCTGTTTAGAGGGGGGATTGAGAGGTGACAGCATGCTGGCAGTCCTCACAGCCCTCGCTCAATCTCAGCACCTTCTCTGCCTGGGCTACCACTTTGGCAGCACTTGAGGAGCCCTTCAGCCCACCGCTGCACTGTGGGAGCCCCTTTCTGGGCTAGCCAAGGCCGGAGCCGGCTCCCTCAGCTTGCAGGGAGGTGTGGAGGGAGAGGCACGAACGGGAACCTGGGCTGTGTTCAGTGCTTGCAGGCCAGGTGGAGTTCTGGGTGGGCGTGGGCTTGGCAGGCCCTGCACTCGGAGCACCCAGCCGGCGCTGCCGGCCCGGGTAATGAGGGGCTTAGCACCCGGGCCAGTGGCTGCGGAGGGTGTACTGGGTCCCCCAGCAGTGCCAGCCCACCGGCGCTGTCCTTGATTTCTCACCAGGCCTTAGCTGCCTTCCCGTGGGGCAGGGCTTGGGACCTGCAGCCCACCATGCCTGAGCCTCCCACCACCTCCATGGGCTCCCATGTGGCCCAAGCCTCCCTGATGAGCGCCTTCCCCTGCTCCACAGCGCCCAGTCCCATAGACCACCCAAGGGCAGAGGAGTGTGAGCACATGGAGCGGGACTGGCAGGCAGCTCCACCTGCAGCCCCAGTGCGGGATCCACTGGGTGAAGCCAGCTGGGCTCCTGAGTCTGGTGGGGACATGGAGAACCTTTATGTCTAGCCCAGGGATTGTAAATACACCAATCAGCACTCAGTATCTAGCTCAGGGTTTGTGAATGCACCAATGGACACTTTGTATCTAGCTACCCTGGTGGGGCCTTGGAGAACCTTTATGTCTAGCTCAGGGATTGTAAACACACCAATCAGCACCCTGTGTCTTCCTCAGGGTTTGTGAGTGCACCAATTGACACTCTATCTAGCTGCTCTGGTGGGGCCTTGGAGAACCTTTATGTCTAACTCAGGGATTGTAAATACACTAATCAGCACTCTGTATCTAGCTCAAGGTTTGTAAACACACCAATCAGCACCCTGTGTCTAGCTCATGGTTTGTGAGTGCACCAATCGACACTCTGTATCTAGCTACTCTGGCGCGGCCTTGGAGAACCTTTATGTCTAGCTCAGGGATTGTAAATACACCAATTGGCACTCTGTCTCTAGCTTCAGGTTTGTAAACACACCAATCAGCACCCTGTGTCTAGCTCAGGGTTTGTGAGTGCACCAATCGACACTCTGTATCTAGCTACTCTGCTGGGGCCTTGGTGAACCTTTGTGTTGATACTCTGTATCTAGCTAATCTAAGTGGGGACATGGAGAACCTTTGTGTCTAGCTCAGGGATTGTAAATGCATCAATCAGCACCCTGTCAAAATAGACCACTCGGCTCTACCAATCAGCAGGACGTGGGTGGGGCCAGAGAAGAGAATAAAAGCAGGCTGCCTGAGCCAACAGTGGCAACCCACTCGGGTCCCATTCCACACTGTGGAAGCTTTGTTCACTCTTTGCAATAAATCTTGCTACTGCTCACTCTTTGGGTCCACACTGCTTTTATGAGCTGTAATACTCACCACAAAGGTCTGCAGCTTCACTCCTGAGCCAGAGAGACCACAAACCCACCAGAAGGAAGAAACTCTGAACACATCCGAACATCAGAAGGAACAAACTCCAGATGCGCCACTTTAAGAGCTGTAACACTCATCGCAAGGGTCCGCGGCTTCATTCTTGAAGTCAGTGAGACCAAGAACCCACCAATTCTGGACACACTAGCATCTACTTTTAATTCTCCTATAACTTTCTGGGTGAACTTGTAATTTGCACTACAGCTTTTAATCTATTAAACTAAGAGATTGAATACATCATCTTTGGGATTTATACTAGCTCTGACAATCTATAACAAAACTGGTGCAAATTAACGCTCAGCTAATTAAAAACAGTTTAACAAAAAGAGTTAGTAACCCAAAAGCTTACTGTAACAAAGAAGCTAATATAAATAAAGGATATTGGCTAATAAAGAATTGTGGGGACTATGGCAAACTAGAGACAGCTACTACTGAGTGTTGCCTAATTCTGGCCAGGTGAAGTATGGACCCTGTGTTGTAAAACTGTCTGATATTTTTGGGAGAAAATGTAAATACAGATAACCTTAATATACCAGTGTAAATTAAACAAACCTAACTTGTAGGTAAAAACATTCCCACAAAAAATACTCCAGGTGCACATGCCTTCATTGGGGGAATTGTACTGCATATTTTTTTTAAAAAAAGCATTAATCATAGACAAACTCTTTCAGAATATCGAAGAGACTAGAATGCTTTCAGCATTAACCTTATAACTAAACTCAACTCCCAAAAATTACAAAGGAAAAAACACCTAAAAGATCAATATTCCTCTTGAAAAATGCTGCAAAAATTCTAAACAAAATATTAGCAAGTCAAATCCAACAACATATAAAACTGATAATACCAAGTGAGTTTTACTCCAGGAATGAAAGATTTATTTAACATTTGAAACTCTATTATTATACTTTACCATAGGAACAACCTAAAAAAATCATATTATCTTAGAATATACAGAAAAAGTATCTGTCAAAATTCAATGTTCATTCTTGGAAAAATCTCAGTAAACATAAATTAAGAGAATTTTCTGAATCTAATAAAGGGCATCTATGAAAACCTACAACTAACTTCATACTTAATGGTAAAAGACTGGCTGTTTTTCTGCTAAGATTAGGAAGAAGACAAGGAAGTCTACTCTCACTATAACAATTAATTGAACTGTAATTACTAGCCATTGCAGTAAGACAAGAAAAAGAAAAAAAAAGACATCCTGTTTGAAAAGCAAGAAGACAGTCTACACTTACAAACAACGTGATTATCTATATAGAAAACCCAATGGAGTTTACACCAGCAAAAGTTCTTAGAACTAGTAATTTAGTTTAGCAAGTCTGCCAGATATAAAACCAATATACAAAAATAAATTGTATTTCTATATAGTAGTCATGAACAATCAGAAATTGAAGTTGAAAAAGTAATAACATTTTCGAGACCTAAAAAATGTAAAAATAAATAGGAATAATCTGAAGAAATCTTTACAAGACCTGTAGCAAAACATTGCTAAGAAAAAATTTTAAAGACCAAAATAAATGGGGAGATATAATGTGTTCATGGAATAGAAGACTCCATAGTTTCTGATGTCAATTTTCCCCAAATTTATCTGTAGATTCAATGAAGCCCCAATGAAAACTGCCAGCTTGCCTTATGGTAGACTTTGACAATCTGATTTTAAAATTAATATAGAAATACAAAAGACTCTGAATATCCAAAACAACTTTGAAAAGGAAGAACAAAGTTAAAGTGTTAGTGCTACCAGATATTAAGACTTACTATAAAGCTACAATAATCCACATGGTGTGGTATTTGTATAAAGATAATATATCAGTGGATCGGATAAAATCCAGAAATAGAACCAAACATATATGGACTACTGTTCAATGGTGTATAGATTATTCAGTGAAAGGACAGTCTTTTCAACAAACTGTTCTTTAATAATTAGATATCAATATGCAAAAAAGTGAATATCAATCCATGCCTCACGTTATATATTAACTCAAAATGGATCTTAGATCTAAATTAAAACTTACAGCTATAAAACTTCTAGAATAAAACACAATAGGAAATATTTGGGTTACGCAAGGAATTACTGTACAAAACACCAAAAGAACAATCTATTTTAAATATTAAAACATTGAACTTCATATAAATAAAAATCTTCTGCTCTTTGAAAGATACTTATTTTAAAAGTCACCAAAACAAGCCAAAGATTGGGATAAAATATTTGCAAATCATTTACCTGACAAAGGATTTGAGTTCAGAATATGTACGTAACATAGAAAACTCAATAATGAGAAAACAAACTAATTTTTCTAATGGGCAAAAGATTTGAACAGATACTTATCAAAGAAGATAGACAGAAAGCAAATAAATCAATGAAAGGATACCCAGTACTTAATATCATTAAGCATTAGGGAAATGCAAATCTAAAACACAACAACAACAACAAAAACACATGCAACTTTTATATTTAAATTAAAATCTCTTACAAGCCAAGGTTTGATGAGGATGTGGAGGAACTTAAACTCATACACTCCTTGTGAAAATGTAAAATACTACACCTGCTTTGAAAAATACTTTGGCAATTTCTTAAAATGTTGAACATACATCTATCTTATGATGTAGCTAGTTCACTCCTACGTAGTTACTAGAAATCATATGTTCAGACTTCACAAGTGTTCAGAGCAGCTTTATATGGAATAGCCAAAATTTAGAAATAACCCAAATATTCATGAACATGCAAATAGATAAACAAGTAGCAATATCTTCCTACAAATACTACTCACAACAAAAAGGAATAAACTATTGATACATTTAATAACCAGATAAATATAAAAATAACTATGCTAAGTGAAATAAACTAGATGAAAACAGTAAAAACTATATTATACACCCATATAAAATTCTAGAAAATACAAACTAATCTATACTGATTAAAAGTAGATCTACAGTGGCATGCGAATGGTGAGAAGGTCAGGAATAAATAGAACAGAGGGTTTACAAAGTTTTATCATGAATTCTTTGGTGTGACAGATACGTTCATTATGTTGATTGTGGTCATGGGTGTGTGTATGTCAAAACTTACCAAATTAAATATTGTAATTTATTGTATGTCATTTATATCTCAATAAAGCTGTCTTTTTTTCTAATCACCTTTGAGAATTCATAAGCAAAAGCAGTCTTCATGTGAGTTGTTTGCTCGAAATCACACTACAAATTTTAAAAATAGCAAGAAATAGGCTGGTAGAAATAAATCTAAATATAACTCATCACATATCTATAAAAGGTTTAAATTTACAAGACAAAAGACAAAGATAGCCTACAAAAACTTGTCTAAAAATGAAACCACAAAGAGAAAACAGCAAAAGGCATACTAATTCAATATTAGTCAAAAGAAAGCTGGTGTAGTTATATTAATGTGATATAAATTATACTACGAGTCAAACAAAATTCTGAAGCATAACTAGATTAATTATAATGAAATAATGTATTGTAAAAATAAAAACTAGAGAGAGTAGGAGGAAATTTTTGGAGGTGATGAATACGTTTATGGCATAGATTGTACTGATGGTTTCATAGGTTCATGCTCATCTTCAAGCTTATCAAATTGCAAATATGTACAGCTTTTTTATGGCAAACATACCTCAATAAAATAGTTTAAATAAAAATAATAAAAGTTCGATTTGCCAGAATATATAAAAGTTTCAAACTAATAAATGCATAGTATTCTCTCAAAATACATAAAATAAAATTTGCATGATTTATAAGAAATTTGTAAATGATTAGCACTCTAGGTTCTGAATTGTAAGAAATTTCAAATCAATAACACAAGGAATTTTGAAAACCATAAAAACACATGGAAATTAAACAATATGCTCCTGAATGACCAGTGGGTCAAAGAAGAAATTAAGAAGGTAATTGAAAATTTTCTTGCAACAAATGATAATGGAATCACAACATACCAAAACCTATAGGATACAGCAAAAGCAATACTAAGAGAGAAGTTTACAGCTATAAATGCCTATATCAAAAAAGAAAAACTTCAAATAAACAACCTAATGATGCATCTGAAAGAAGTAGAAAGCAAGAGAAAATCAAATCCAAAATTAGTAGAAGAAAAGAAATAATAAAGATCAGAGTGGAAATAAATGAACTGATACAAAGAAAGCAATATAAAAGGTCAATGAATGAAAAGTTGGTTTTTTGAAAAGATAAACAAAATTGGCAAAGCTCTAGCCAAAGGAAAAAAAAAAAGAGAGAAGACTCAAATAAAATCAGAGATGAAAAAGGAGACATTACAACTGATACCACAGAAATTCAAAGCATCATTAGAGGCTACTATGAGAAATTATATGCCAATAAATTGGAAAACCTAGGAAGAAATGGATAAATTCCTAGACAAATACAACCTGCTAAGATTTGACCATGATGAAATTCAAAATCTGAACAGATCATGACAAGTAATAAAATAGAAGCCATAATAAAATGTCTCCCAGCAAAGAAAAGCCCAGGACCTGGCAGTGAAGATGGTTTCACTGCTGAATTGCACCAAACATTTAAAGAAGAACTAATACCAATCCTACTCAAACTATTCCAAAAAATAGAAAAGGAAGAAATACTTTCCAGCTTACTCTATGAGGATAGTATTACCATGATACCAAAACCAGACAAAGATACATCGAAAAAAGAAAACTACAGGGCAATATCCCTGATGAACATTGATGCAAAAATCCTCAAAAAAATACCAACAAACTGAATTCAATAACGCATTAAAAAGATAATTCACTATAAGCAAGTGGGATTTATCCCAGGGATGAAAGGATGGTTCAACATATGCAAATTAAACAATGTGATACAGCATATGAACAGGATGAAGGACAAGTACCATATGATAATTTCAATTAATGTTGAAAAAGCAGTTAATGAAATTCAACATCTGTTCATGATAACAACCCTTAAAAAAACTGGCTATAGAAGGAACATACCTCAACACAATAAAAGCTATATATGACAAGCCCACCGCTAGTATCAAACTGAATGGGGAAAAACTGAAAGTCTTTCCTTTAAGATCTGGAACATGACAAGGATGCCTACTGTCACCACTTTTAATCAATACAGTACTGGAAGTCCTAGCTAGAAGAATGAGACAAGAGAAAGAAGGGCATCCAAATTGGAAAGGGAGAAGTCAAATTATCCCTGTTTGCAGATGATATAATCTTAGATTTGGAAAAACCTAAATACTCCACCAAAAATTATTAGAACTGATAAACAGATTCAGTAAAGTTGCAAGATACAAAATCAACATAAAAAGTCAGTAGAATGTCTATATGCCAACAACAATCTGAAAAAGAAATCAAGAAAGTAATCCCATTTATAATAGCTACAAATAGAATTGAATAACTAGAAATTAGCTTTACCAAAGAAATGAAAGATCTCTACAATAAAAGCTATAAAACATTGATGAAAGAAATTGAAGAGGCCACAGAAAATGGAAATATTCACGGATTGGAAGAATCATTATTTTTAACATGTCCATATTACCCAAAGAAAACTACAGACTTAATATAATCCCTATCAAAATACCAACGGCAGTCTTCAGAGAAATAGAAAGAAAACGATCTTAACATTTATATGGAACCAGAAAACACCCCGAATGGCCAAAGCTATCCTCAGCAAAAAGAACAAAACTGGAGGAATCACATTCCTTGACTTCAAATTATAGTACTGAGCTAGAGTAACCAAAGCAGCATAGCACCAGGCATAAAAACAAACCCACAGAACAATGGAACAGAGAATATAGAACCCAGAATCAAATCCATACATCTACAGTGAATTCATTTCTGACAAAAATTTCAAGGACATTCAATGAGGAAAGGACAGTCTTTTCAATAAACGGTGCTGGGAAAACTGTGTATCCAGATGCAGAAGAATGAAACTAGATCCCTCTCTCTCATCATATACAAAAATCAAATCAAAATGGATTAAAGACTTAAAAAGACCTCAAACTATGAAACTACTTCAAGAAAACATTGGGGAAATTCTCCAGGACATTGGGATGGACAAACATTTATTGATAATACCTCAAAAGCACAGGCAACCCAAACAAAACTAGACAAGTAGGATCACAGCAAGTTAAAAAGCCTCTGCATAGCAAAGGAAACAATCAACAAAGTGCAGAGGCAACCCACAGAAGAGAAAATATTTGCAAACTACCTATCTGACAAGAGATTAATAACCAGAATATATAAGTAGCTCAAACAACTCTACAGGAAACAATCTAATAATCTGATTTTAAAATGGGCAAAAGATCTGAATACACATTTCTCAAAAGAAGACATACAAATGGAAAATAGTTGTATGAAAAGGTGCTCATCATAACTGATCATCAGAGAAATGCAAATCAAAACTACAATGAGATATCATCTCATCCCCCATTAAAATGGCTTTTATCCAAAAGACAGGCAATAACACATGCTGGTGAAGATGTGGAGAAAAGGAAACCCTCATACACTGATAGTGGGAATGTAAATTAGTACAACCAACAACCACTATGGAGACCAGTTTGGAGAACAGTTCCTCAAAAAACTACAAATAGAGCTATCATGAGATCCAGCAATTCCAATGCTAGGTATACACCCAAGAGAAAGGAAATCAGTATGTCAAAGAGAGATCTGCACACTTATGTTTATAGCAGCTCTATTCACAGTAGCTAAGATTTGGAAACAATCTAAGTGTCCATCGACAGATGAATAAAGAAAGAAAATGTGGCACATATACCTAATGAAGTACTATTCAGCCATTGATAAGAAGTAGATCCTGTCGTTTGCAAAAACATAGATGAAACTGGAGGTCATTACGTTAAGTGAAATAAGCCAAGCACAGAAAGACAAAGTTTGCATACTCTCACTTATTGTAGAATCTAAAAATTAAAACAATTGAACTCATGGAGCTAGAGAATAAAATGATGGTTACCAGAGGCTGGAAAGCATATTAGGGGTATAGAGGGGGAGTGGAGATGGTTAATGGTACAAAAAGTAGAATGAGTGAATAAGATCTAGTGTTTAATACCCCAACAGGGTAACTATTGTCAAAAATAATTTAATTGTAATTTTAAAAATAACTAGAAGAGTATAATTGGGTTGTTTGTAATACAAAGAAAGGACAAATGCTTGATGTGGTGGATACCCCATTTCCTCTCTTGTGACTATTGCACATTGTATGCCTGTATCAAAATATCTTATGTACCCTATCAATATATACAGCTACTATGTACCCACAAAAATCTTAAAAAGGAATTTACAAATCCACCATTAATATGAAAACATGTCAACCTACTTCTCTGAATAATTTATAAGGCAAGCTAATAGAGAGCTTGATAAATGATAGACAGATAGAAGATAGAGGAGAGAATAATGTATTCAATCACAAAATGCACAATTTTACAAAGAACTTTTAAACGTTTGTTTAGATTACTATGTATTAGGCCATAAAGCAAGTCCAAATGCCCAAAAATGACTATAATGTAGACTGTATTTTCTTAAGTCATTTTAACTAAACCAAAAGTTAATGTCACAATAACTTCATAAAATTATCAAATAAAATTATAAAATATAAAACAACGCATTTTAGAAATAACTTACAGGTCAAAATTAAACATTAGGACATACTTAGAACTGAACGATAATAAAATACTTTGCATCAAATGTGAAGAATACCATTATAATGATATACAAAGAGAAATACTTTAAATTCTTAGGAAAAAAAGACTAAAAGTTAATTAGTTTAAGATGTTAGATAACAGAACAAGAACTTACACCAAAAAAAAGAAGAAAGGAACTGATAAAATAAGCATAATCTAATTAAATAAAAAACAAAAACAAAAGAAAAAATCAAGATCAAGAAAAAAGTGAGTACAAGCGAGATAATAAAATAATAAAAATAAAAAGGTCTACAAGGGAGCTAAACAAAGCCAAACCCCATGCACTCAAGTCTTAGCAGGCATAACTATAGCCACCAATTACCTGGTGTGTTGGCAGCGTCAGGATTTTTGAAGCTGTCCTCACCCCCTTATTTCCTTCTGGTCTGTGTCTTCCAATCTAATAAACCAGTTTTTCCCCCTCTGGTCTTCAAGCTATCAAGCACCAGATGCTCCTCAGTGAGGATATCGTCCTCTTAATATTTAACAATCATCCTTTACAGGGGACCTCTAGACTGCCCATCAGTGGGACATGACAGAGATAAAATCCTGCCCCTGTCTCCCTTGAGGCTGGCTGGATACTGCTTTCACCAACTCATGGAAACAACTCAGCCCTGACAGCTGGCAAGTAGCCAAGACCCACACAGCCACCACCACCCCTCTGTCAGCAGGAAGCAGTTAGAGAAGACTGACCTTCATCCATTTTCTTCCGAAGATTTGGGGTCTTGGACTCTTGAGTGGGAAAATGTTACAGTGGGTAGCTAGTCAGGCATGCGTAGGACAGGAGAGGGCCTCCCCACACACACACACCAGAGTGTTGGGCAAGCATCAGGTGATGCTCAGGCGGTTGTTAACTGTTTCTCTTAAGTAATAATTGGTCACAGCTGGCGCCAGGAAAGGCAGTCTTCTACTAGATAGAAAACACCTGAAACTGATCAGCAGCTTCCCAATAAGATCCCAGAAGTAGCCAACATATTAAAAACCCCAAGTCAAGAGGTCAAGCTGAGCACTTGGTTTCTCAAATCATCTGTATGGCCCTCTCCCAAGTTTCACTTTCCTACTTTTCTTTCCTTTCCCTCCTTTCCTTACTGTTCTGAAGATTTTTAATAAATTTTCACTACTGCTCTGAAAAAAAAGAATAAAAAGGTCTAGTATTATAAACATGACATGGCTGAATTTTTTAAAAAAGAACTATTATAAAAATATTATGCTAGCAAAATAAAAATTTTAGAGAAATGATCTGAAACTGACTCAAAGAGAAATTTTAAAGATGTACTACTTATTGCACTATAGTAATGAAATCAGTACCTACACAAACACACACTCAAATACCTGGCCTATGAGCATTTAGAGGTAAGTTCTATCAAAATATAAAGAATAGATAATTTTGATCTATACAAACTTCTTCAGAGCAGGGTGGAGAGGGGAAACATTCCTGAGTCCATTTTGTGAGCTTAGCATGTAAAATATTAATACCAAAACCTGATAAGGTAGCAGAAGAAAAAGAAAAACATAGGAAATCTCACTTATGATATAATCCTAAGCACTATCAGCAAACCAAATGAGCAATGCATTTAAATATATCATGTCCAATATGAATTTAACCCAGAAATGCGAAAATGCTAAGCAATTGAAAATCTAACATAATTCACTGTACTACAAACATTGAAGATGAGAAGCCATATTATAGTCTTATTAGAAACAGCAAGGGTATTTGCCAAAAAACCAACACTCACTCATGATTAAACAAGCAAACAAAACAACGAACAAACAAAAAGCTCTTCCCAGATTAGTAATAGAAGAGAATTTCCTGTATTTAGTAAAGGATGTCCTACAAAAATGCACAGCAAATATCATAATGGTAAAACTTTAGATTTCTTTTAAATATCAGGAAGCAATAAACATGTCCACTAATACTGCTTCTGTTAATCATTGTACTTGATGTTCTGGCCAGTACAATATAAAAAGAAGTATATCTCACTTCAGGTACTGATCATTGTTTTGCTTGCTTTATAGCAAAATTCATAAACAGAACTGCACAAAAGGTCTTCAAAAAGTTTATGGAAATGCATACTATGAAAAAAACTACACATGAAGTTCAAAAATTTTTGCACAAAAATAAACTTGTACTAACTTGTTATAACGTGAATGAACAAGATCTAGTTTGAGGCACTAAGAAAAATAAGATGTTAGTTTGAAAAGAGCCCCAATGAGAGCAACAGGAACTCTGCTAAAATTGAAGCAAGAACATCAAATTTTAAGAAGCTTGGGTGGAAGAATGGTGAAATAATTAATGCTTTATGAAAAGTTTATGGGGAGCAATGCCCCCAAAAGATCAGCAGTGTACAAATGGATAACTCCTTTTAAGAAAGGATGAGATCATCTTTAAGATAAAGCCCACAGTGTCAGACCATCCACATCAATTTGTGACAAAAAATATTCCTCTTGTCTATGACCCAATTGAAGAGGACTGGCAATTAATAGCACAAAGAGTAGCCAGAACCATAGACATCTCAGCTAATTCAGCTTACACAATTCTGACTGAAAAATTAAAGTTGAGCAAAATTTCCGTATCATGGGTGTCAAAACCATTGCACTACGATCAGTTGCAGACAACAGCAGAGCTTTCAATGGAAATTTTAAACAAATCAGATGAAGATCCTGAGACATTTTCTTAAAGAATTGTAACAGGGGATGAAATAAGGCTTTACCAGTACAGTCCTAAAGACACACCACAATCAAAGCAATGGCTAACAAGAGATGGGAGTGCTCTAGTGAAAGCAAAAGTGGACTCACCAAAAGCAAAGGTCATAGCAAGAGTATTTTGGAATGTTCAAGGTATTTTACTTGTTGACTTTCTGGATGGCCAAAGAATTCAAACATCGGCTTATTATGAGAGTGCTTTGAGAACGCCAAAACTTCAGCAGAAGAACAGCTGGGAGAGCTTCACCAGAGAGCCCTTCTTTCCCAACAACAATGCTACTACTCATTCCTCTTGTCAATCAAGAGCAATTTTGTGAGAGTTTCAGTGGCAAATGATTGGACAACCACCTTACAGTCCTGATTCAGCTCCTTCTAACTTCTTTTTGTTTCCTAATCTTAAAAAGTCTTTAAAGGGCACCCATTTTTTCTTCAGTTAATAATGTAAAAAAGACTGAATTGACATGGTTAAATTCCCAAGACCTCTCCAGTTCTTTAGGAATGGACTAAATGGCTCGTATCATCACTTACAAAAATGTCTTGAACTTGATGGGGTTTATGTTAAGAAATAAAGTTTATCTTTTTTATTTTCATCTTTTATTTTATTATTTATTATTATTATTATTTATTATTATTTGGTGCACCTCCACTGCCCTACAGGGTCCTGAGACACTGTGTGAGATGAGGGAGATATTGATTTTTAATTTTTTTTGTAGAGGTGGTCCCTGTCCTCCAAGAGTACTTTTATGTTTCTGTTCTATATTTTCACAAACATTTTGATGTCCCCTTATATATATATTCCCTATTTCCAATTCCTCTTCTCACATTTTCTTTAAGTGATCTGTTAGTGGTATACATCTCATGGGGCTTTCTCTTGTTGGTCTTAAATTGGAGGCAGAGATGAAAAAGTTAGGGAACTGTCAGTAATTAATCAAATCCTGACCATTCTGGGTTGATTGTCACAGAAGTTATTGTTGGACTTTGTTGCGGAAGATCGTGGTCCAACTTTCTACAAATATGACTTGTAAAGAGTAGGATGGCTTCCTGGGCTTTCAATCAACAATGTGTTGGTTTCTCTAGACAGGTTGCTGTAGATTGTGAGTCCAAGTTCTATTTTTATATATGGTGCGGCCACAGTCCATTTGCATATTTAGTCTGTCACCTAACACCTACTCTAATCACATCTTTATCCCCATGATTTCCCTGAAAACCATTCTTGTCGAGGTCTCCAATGACTAATTTTACTAAACCCATTTGTCGATTCTTATCCTCATTTTATCTGCTCCATCAGCATTTGTCAATTGACTCCTCCTTCTTCCTGGAAATATTTTCCTCACCTGACTTCCAGAGTGCCATACTTACTTGACTTTCCTTCTTTCGTATGATCTATTTTGTTCACCTCTGTAGCTCGAGTTTTTTTTTTTTAACAATGTTGGCTTAAATAATAGCAGGTGCTCAATACATATTTGCATAATATTTTTAAATTTCTTCAAAATCTTAGAGATCTCTCCAGCTACCCCCCAATTCAGTGTTTAGAAATGATGAATATGAAGCCTAAAAAGGTATAATCTCTCATATTAATTTATATAATGGATTAGTAAACAATTACAATCCGGGTGTTCTGTCTCCCAATTCAATGCTTTTTCCAGCTGTAATAGGTTATCTCTGATGTTTCTATTTCAATTTCTCCTCATCTTAGGGTCAGTTGAAATATATCTTACTAAGGTGGGAACTTTTTAAAATTGTATAAATAGCAAAAAAAGTCACCCTTCATTTTAAGGGAAAAAATGCACCACCAACAATAAAAACATAACATCTGTGTTTCTAATTCTAAGCATTTTATTAATCAGTATTTCACAGTGGAAAATGGATATCTTATTTAATCATGTTCATTTGAACTCAACTTTTTAAATATATAAACTCTTTGATGGAATGGATCATGTCTTACTCATCCTTGTGTTCTTAACATGTAAGTCTGTACTCAGCACATAGTAGATGCTCAATAAATGTCAGATGAATTAGTGAATAAATGAATCAGTAGGTGAGTGGTCTCTCTTAGATTAAAAGGCATGGTGAAGATTAAGTTTCTCTAATTAAAATTTAATTCCACCGTGGGAACCAGTTTCTGAATTTGCTATAACAGAAACTGAGAATTTGGTCTGTTTCTCCTGTTCTGATCACTTAGACAACTTTTGACAAATCCATGTATTGCTCCTGGCCTTTGTTTTTGCATTTAAATAGTGGTCTGAATGTGCTTCTTAGGTATCATAAATTTATTGAAGCAGTATTTTTCAAGTCCTTGCAAATCCTTAAGTGAAAGAGGGCACATTCACCAAGAATTATTATTTTATAATGACTTAGAAGAAAAGGATTCTTCAAATCAGTTTGCAAAAACAGCCACTTCAGTGACTTCCTATCTTTGCCCCAGTCTTCTAAATCAGTTAATAATAATTATTCCCTATAAATCAGACCCCCTTGAAGTTTTTTCTTCTTTGCAGTTGCGGCATGCTGGCTGCCTTTCCCTCATTACATTTTATGTCTTTGTTTTGTTTGCACAGTCCCCTTTCTTCCTACCATTGTAATTCTCACTGTCATGAGATGCTAAATTTATGGATGAAAAAGTGTGGTTTCTAGCAGCTCTTAATAAAAAATGTATTCTAATTACAAGAAAAAGGAATTAAAAATCAAAACACTCCGCTCTTTGCAAGGACTGATCTGCTTGCAGACTCTGACAAAAGACCTGTGAAAATGGCAAATTGCCCTGAAGAGAGCTCTATTTCCCATTTCCTGGACATTCAGAGATCTATGTGCAACAACACTCAATAAAATAGAACTCTGTTCTCTATAAGGGAGAAAAGTTACTCTATACATATGGTTAGCATCTGGAGTATGGGAAAAAAATAAGTAGCATGATAGCGAAGGCACAGCAAACTTCTGAGACCGATGATCTTCTCTAAATCTAAGCCCCAAGATATAGCCCTCAAGCATCAGAGAAAAACATAAGGATGAAAGAAAGGAAACTAGCTATTGATTTTCTTTTTATTTTCTTGTTTTTTTTATTATAATTTGTTTTAGGGTACATGTGCACAACGTTCAGATTTGTTACATATATATACATGTGCCATGTTGGTGTGCTGCACCCATTAACTCGTCATTTACATTAGGTATATCTCCTAATGCTATCCCTCCCCCTTCCCCCCACCCCACAACAGGCCCCGGTGTGTGATGTTCCCCTTCCTGTGTCCATGTGTTCTCAGTGTTCAATTCCCACCTATGAGTGAGAACATGCAGTGTTTGGTTTTTTGTCCTTGCGATAGTTTGCGGAGAATGATGTTTTCCAGCTTCATCCATGTCCCTACAAAGGACAGGAACTTATCCTTTTTTATGGCTGCATAGTATTCCATGGTGTATATGTGCCACATTTTCTTAATCCAATCTATCATTGTTGGACATTTTGGTTGGTTCCGGTCTTTACTATTGTAAGTAGTGCCGCAATAAACATACCGGTGCATGTGCCTTTATAGCAGCATGATTTATAATCCTTTGGGTATATACCCAGTAATGGGATGGCTGGGTCAAATGTTATTTCTAGTTCTAGATCCCTGAGGAATCGCCACACTGACTTCCACAATGGTTGAACTAGTTTACAGTCCCACCAACAGTGTAAAAGTGTTCCTGTTTCTCCACATCCTCTCCAGCACCTGTTGTTTCCTGACTTTTTAATGATCGCCATTCTAACTGGTGTGAGATGGTATCTCATTGTGGTTTTGATTTGCATTTGTCTGATGGCCAGTGATGATGAGCATTTTTTCATGTGTCTTTTGGCTGCATAAATATCTTCTTTTGGGAAGTGTCTCTTCATATCCTTCACCCACTTGTTGATGGGGTTGTTTGATTTTTTCTTGTAAATTTGTTTGAGTCCATTGTAGATTCTGGATATTAGCCCTTTGTCAGATGAGTAGATTGCAAAAATTTTCTCCCATTCTGTAGGTTGCCTGTTCACTCTGATGGTAGTTTGTTTTGCTGTGCAGAAGCTCTTTAGTTTAATTAGAACCCATTTGTCAATTTTGTCTTTTGTTGCCATTGCTTTTGGTGTTTTTTTTTATTTTTTTATTTTATTTTTTATTATACTTTAAGTTTTAGGGTACATGTGCACATTGTGCAGGTTAGTTACATATGTATACATGTGCCATGCTGGTGCACTGCACCCACTAACTTGTCATCTAGCATTAGGTATATCTCCCAATGCTATCCCTCCCCCCTCCTCCCACCCCACCACAGTCCCCAGAGTGTGATATTCCCCTTCCTGTGTCCATGTGATCTCATTGTTCAATTCCCACCTATGAGTGAGAATATGCGGTGTTTGGTTTTTTGTTCTTGCGATAGTTTACTGAGAATGATGATTTCCAATTTCATCCATGTCCCTACAAAGGACACGAACTCATCATTTTTTATGGCTGCATAGTATTCCATGGTGTATATGTGCCACATTTTCTTAATCCAGTCTATCATTGTTGGACACTTGGGTTGGTTCCAAGTCTTTGCTATTGTGAATAATGCCGCAATAAACATACGTGTGCATGTGTCTTTATAGCAGCATGATTTATAGTCCTTTGGGTAAACAGACACTTCTCAAAAGAAGACATTTATGCAGCCAAAAATACACATGAAAAAATGCTCATCATCACCGGCCATCAGAGAAATGCAAATCAAAACCACAATGAGATACCATATCACACCAGTTAGAATGGCAATCATTAAAAAGTCAGGAAACAACAGGTGCTGGAGAGGATGTGGAGAAATAGGAACACTTTTACACTGTCAGTGGGACTGCTAGTTCAACCATTGTGGAAGTCAGTGTGGCAATTCCTCAGGGATCTAGAACTAGAAATACCATTTGACCCAGCCATCCCACTACTGCTTTTGGTGTTTTAGACATGAAGTCCTCGCCCATGCCTATGTCCTGAATGGTATTGCCTAGGTTTTCTTCTAGGGTTTTTATGGTTTTAGGTCTAACATTTAAATCTTTAATCCATCTTGAATTAATTTTAGTTTAAGGTGTAAGGAAGGAATCCAGTTTCAGCTTTCTACATATGGCTAGCCAGTTTTCCCAGCACCATTTATTAAATAGGGAATCCTTTCCCCATTTCTTGTTTTTGTCAGGTTTGTCAAAGATCAGATAGTTGTAGACATGTGGCATTATTTCTGAGGGCTCTGTTCTGTTCCATTGGTTTATATCTCTGTTTTGGTACCAGTACCATGCTGTTTTGGTTACTGTAGCCTTGTAGTATACTTTGAAGTCAGGTAGCGTGATGCCTCCAGCTTTGTTCTCTTGGCTTAGGATTGACTTGGCAATGTGGGGTCTTTTTGGTTCCATATGAACTTTAAAGTAGTTTTTTCCAATTCTGTGAAGAAAGTCATTGGTAGCTTGATGGGGATGGCATTGAATCTATAAATTACCTTCGGCAGTATGGCCATTTTCATGATATTGATTCTTCCTACCCATGAGCATGGAATGATCTTCCCTTTGTTTGTATCCCCTTTTATTTCATTGAGCAGTGGTTTGTAGTTCTCCTTGAAGAGGTCCTTCACGTCCCTTGTAAGTTGGATTCCTAGGTATTTTATTCTCTTTGAAGCAATTGTGAACGGGAGTTCACTCCTGATTTGGTTCTCTGTTTGTCTGTTACTGGTGTATAAGAATGCTTGTGATTTTTGCACATTGATTTTGTATCCTGAGACTTTGCTGAAGTTGCTTATCAGCTTAAGGAGATTTTGGGCTGAGACGATGGGGTTTTCTAGATTATCTCAATCGATGCAGAAAAGGCCTTTGACAAAATTCAACAGCACTTCATGCTAAAAACTCTCAATAAATTAGGTATTGATGGGACGTATCTCAAGATAATAAGAGCTATTTATGACAAACCGACAGCCAGTATCATACTGAATGGGCAAAAACTGGAAGCATTCCCTTTGAAAACTGGCACAAGACAGGGATGCCCTCTCTCACCACTCCTATTCAACATAGTGTTGGAAGTTCTGGCCAGGGCAATCAGGCAGGAGAAAGAAATAAAGGATATTCAATTAGGAAAAGAGGAAGTCAAATTGTCCCTGTTTGCAGATGACATAATTATTAATTTTCATGATGCAATATTTAAGCAACCATTATCAAGAGAATCTGCTGTCAGATACACAATAGGTATTATATAAATATTTGCTGAGTGAATTGCAGACCAGATCAGAGAGTGTCAAACTTTGAAGAAACTTGAGAAATAACCTACAGTTAATGAAGGTTCAGAAATATTAAATAGATTGCCTAAGATCATGAAGTGAACTACTGGAGGAGCTAAGACTAGGATCCAAGTCTCTCATCTCCTAATTCAGTCTTCTTTTCCACAAGAGAGTCAATATAGGTATTTATTTCTGGTATGTTTTGGCTGTGTCCCCTCCCAAATCTCATCTTGAATTGTAGTTCCCATAATCCCTACGTGTCGTGGGAGGGACTTGGTGGGAGGCAATTGAATCATGGGGTCAGTTATCCCCATGCTGCTGTTCTCTTAATAGTGAATGAGTTTGCATGAGATTTGATGGTTTTATAAGGGGCTTTTCCTTCTTTGCTCGACATTCACTTATCTTTCCTGCCTTCATGTGAAGAAGGACATATTTGCTTCCCCTTCTGCCATGACTGTAGGTTTCCTGAGATCTCCCCTGCATAACTGTGAGTCAATTAAACCTCTTTCCTTTATAAATTACCCAGTCTCAGGTATTTCTTCATAGCAGCATGAGAACAGACTAATACAATTTCCAACCACCTTCCCTTTCCATCTTCCAGTAAGGAAGAGCCACTGACCAATATGCTTACCTGCTTCAGAATTTATTCTCCCTTTAGTTGGTTTTACCCATAAGCCCACCTAAAAACAATAAGGAGTTCACAAAAGTCATCTGAGCCAGGAATCCTCTCCATGTTCTTTTTCTATGGTGCTGTGGCAGTGAACAAATCACAACCTCTGTGTTTCTTTTAGCATTGTTTTTCAAATAAACTATCATATAAATACCACACATTAGATACATATTAGGAGGGTACCATGGAAATATACTCAGAAAAAGATTGTTTATATAAATAGTTCACTGAGAGATTAAATATCAATTAAACCTTTGTAAAAACTGATTTCTGGTCCAATTTGTCCTCCTTTACTTGTGCTATAGCTGTATATTGTGCATATTAATTATTGCACTTATCACTTTGTGCTAAAATGTATTTTTATTTATGTTTATATATATGAAATATATATATATTTCACATACATACATACACACACACACACACACACACACACATCCTCTACTCCAAGAAGGCTGAGAGCACTTCAAAAGCAGCACATCAAAAGATTCAATAATAAATTATGTTTGATCACAGAGACTGGCATAAAGATAGGATATCATTGACACATATCTGTTGGGTGTACGACTTTCTAAGGGACTTTGCCAAAGGTCAGTCTTTAAGGACAACCAAGGGAAAGACCAAATCACTTTGCTAATTTCTCAATTTCAATCCAGTAACTACAATCGCACCCAAAGATCACCTATGTGTCCTGCGTTTAAGCTATTTCTGGTGGCTGCACCCAACTGGCAAATCAGAACATGCCATGCTGGAAACTTAATAAGTTGTTATTTTTTAACTTATTTAAAAAACATCATATTTTGGGTTCCAAAATCCCCAACATCTATTTATAATATTGTGATGCTTATTTTAAAAAACTAAATGGATTTTTTTAGAAAAATGTTTTTACTAACCTACCATGAAACCTGAAAAGGATAACATGAGAATTAAATTGATAATATATTAATATCAGGCAATTGTTTTAGGGGACTAGAAGAAAATTATAGAGAAAGACTCTCTAGCAGTGGTCCCAATAATAAAAGAACAAAATTATGAAACTTATCAGCAGTCATTGAATTATTGAGCCCCAGGCCCATTTGCTCCAGTTTTATGAGTCAAAAACCAAAACTGTGTGAACTGATAAATACTTAATCTTCACAAACATCAGAGTCAAATTAAGGAAATCATCCAACACACCAAATGCAGCTCAGCACATCATAAAACCATTAAAACAGAAACCTTATACCAAGGAAGCACCAGACACATCAGGATCTTGTGCAAATGGAATAATTATAGCCAGATGGAACAATAAACTCTGATGCTAGGCAGCATGAACCTTGGCACAGTGAATATATGTCATGTGGAAAGTCAAGAGGGGGTCTTCATAGAATCGTCAAAAGGAGACACAGAAAATTCATCCTGAACCAAGAGAGGAAGAAAAGCCTTGGATTTTAAGAAGTCAAAATGACCAGATGATATGTGTATAATAGAAATACCAGGGTTACTGAAGCAAGACAGAACCAGGTACTAAAAATAAATCTACCACCTATTAGTTGTGGCATTAAATTGTTAGTTCTTTTGTTTCCTCTAGAAATTCAGAGTCACAGCACCCATGTCATAGGATTGGCAGGATTAAATATAGATTCTAATCCTAGACAAATCAGAGTACACTCTCTCAGTGACCCAACCTGTAAAATGTTGGTTTGAGTAAACACTGTGATAACTCCCGAATAGTATAATCACATGACAAGTTTTCACCATTAATGTGATAATTTCTACAAAACCACTAGATTCTCATCTTCTATCTAAGTTGTTCAATGTGCTGGATTTCAAAGTAGTTACTAATGACACAGACAGTCCCATGCATTAACATTATTCTTCCTAGACATACAGGCAGAAGTTCCCAAGCCTCCTGTACAATTTGGTTGAGATCATGGGACTGGGTTCTGGCCAGTTAGATGTAGGTAGAAAGGGCAAGCCACTTCTAGGACCTCCCTTAACATCCCTTATGGAAATGGTTATATATTTTTCAGTCATTGATTGTCCACTGTGCTATGTTACATTATTTTCTATCCCTTAGTGATATTTTTGCATATTCTATGACTTTCTGGGTTTTTTTGCTTGTTTGTTTTTTGTTTTCAGACGGAGTCTCGCTCTGTCGCCCAGGCTGGAGTGCAGTGGCGCAGTCTCAGCTCACTGCAAGCTCCGCCTCCCGGGTTCACGCCATTCTCCTGCCTCAGCCTCCCGAGTAGCTGGGACTGCGCCCGGGCTCTACAGGAGCCCGCCACCGCGCCCGACTAATTTTTCATATTTTTAGTAGAGACGGGTTTCACCGTGGTCTCGATCTCCTGATGGCTATTTTTAATTATTAAAACACAGGCCAATCTAGTTTAAAACTTCAGTATTCAAAGCTTTCCCCACCTCCTTTCCCAGCACACACCAGAAAGGTGTCCCTGACTTTCCAGAGCGGAGAAAGAGCATGAAAATAACTGAGCCTCTCCCTCCTCTAGGTCGGGGCTCTAATGCTGGAGTCAGTGAGGAAGCAGAGAAATGCAGTCTTCTTCGTTGACTGTCCACATGTCATTGTGAGGATGAGTCTGGCCTCACTCTGGTTCATTCAGGTTCTATTTGTGTTTACAGCTTCCTTTTATTGTTGGTCTTCACATCAGCACATGATTGTCTTGGGGACAATGCTAATCTTCTCTCTGGCTCTCCCCAAGGACCTGATCAACAGAGCATCTATTTCTCTCACAAGCCTTGTCTTCTGTACAAGCTTCCTCTCCCTTCTATGGGTTGGGCGTCCCTTTGTTTTGCCTAGTGGTCATTTGGACAGCCCTCAGCTGCCACACCTTCTCTACCATCTGAGCCCCCTTCTGGGGTGCCCTAGGAACTATTAGGTCTGAACTCTCAGAGGAGCAAAATGAACAAAACGTTGTGGAAGTTGCTTCATACTTCTCTCAGACGCGCCTCGCTATAGCCCTTCCAAGACTGTGTTACGCACAAAATGGGTGAGTTCAATCACTTGGTAGATGACAGTCCAATGACCAAAGCCAAGGAAGATTCAACAAAGGAATTGTATTCCTTGCAACAAGTAAGGAGGACTCCAAAGTGACGCCTCCCTGAACACAAGGTTTTCATTAGGCTGATTAACTGAGTCGTTATATGTAGTGGTGGAGTAAAGGCAGCACAGGCACTGTTGCCCATCATGCCTCTGTATATGTCGCATGTACAGAAAATTGTGAATAAGTTCCTCTCTGGGCAGGTTTTTTAGTATGGTAATGAGGAGAGTTGGCCAAAGTTCATCTCCAACTCAGGTATCTCTGGATCCAACCAGTTTTGTTGTTTTTCTGGGGCTAAGCTTCTTCCTGGAGCCTTCTGAAACAAGAAGTCAAGGTGCAACAGTTACAAGTGGGTACTCAAAAACCCAGGGTGATTCTCTGTGAGCTGTCTCACTTCTTTTTTCTGCACTCCAAGAGGAAAGGGGGAAAAGGCTTCCGTCTAAGAGCACAATTCCCACCAGAAGGTCATCCACATGAGGATTAGGCCTCACTCCAGTCCCTTTCTCACTTAGACTTGAGTGTGGGTGTGGGGATACAGTCACTAGTGGAGAGGGGACTATTCCTTCCAAACTCTCAAACCCCTTCAGAGAAGTATCTGGCCTGAAGACAGGCAGTTCCCTGTGACTCTTCTCCAAAGGTGGGGCATTTAAAGCCTTCTGTTTTGAGCTTTCGCCTTAGCTCAGTTTTGATACAACAGTGAGAATCCGTTAGCTCAGGACCTCAATACTAAGTCATACACAGCACTCTTGAAATTCAGAAAAAAAGTGCACAAGGTTTTTATTTAATACGTTTCTTACCGCCTTTGCTCTGTCAGTTCACAAAGAAGGAAACAGTACATTTTGTGACAGAGATCATCAGAGACCGTACTTCTCTGCAATTTGAAGATGGAGAACATTGAATTCAATTTAGTGCTACATAACTGTATACCATTTCATGTTACCTGTAACACCAGGATACATTTTACCTTCTTCTGGCAGGAAATTAAGCCTTGCTAGTAGCCCATTCTGGTTCTTGGAAGAAGTTATATTCATTTCTTTCCTGCTCAGAAATGAGAATGAAATTGCTTTTGATGATAAAAGCAGCAATGAACCTCCAGCCTGTTCCTCGACAACCCAGGTTACACTCTGTCATTCTTTGATTGCCACAGAGGTTCCCACTCTGCAGAGTCCATTGAGAAGATCAGATCCTCTTGTCCATGTTTCACATGTCATTAGAGGGGTGGGTGGTGCCAGAGGCCTTCTGCACCATAGTTCAGAAGGCAGGCAGCAGAATGCATAAACCAAACCTGGTCTGGACAGAAGAAAGACAGGAATATTGAAAACATGTAGAGCCTGGGAGATTTTCCCATTTATCTTTACCTGATGGAAGATGGTCTGCTGCTAAGTGAAGGATGGACCCACAGTAATGAAGCTGTCTGCAGTACTGAGAGCTGTTTGGCCATGGCACATGGCTCAGAAATAGTGCAACTGCCAAGGTGTCAGAAGCCATCAATTGTCCCAGACTCACTTGCTGGGATTAGAGCCACAGAACATGGGGCTAAAACATCATTATTCTCCCAGATGAAACCACACTTACCTCTTTATCATCAGGATCCCCACACCAAACATTATTATTGATCAAGTCCCATTATTTCTCCAGGTACAGAGTCATGGAACATAACAGTAGTATCATCATTCTTCCTCACAGCTCACATCCACCAAGGAGTTATTTCCTTCTCTTCCACATAAATTACAGTCCAGCAGCCCAGATCGTTTCCTTCTATGTGTCCTGAATACAGAGTAAGGGGCAAGGGAAGCCCAGGTAACCCTGTGTTGAGCTGAGCAGTTCTCTTCATAATTTCTGCCACTTGGTCAAAAGGTCCTCCATGTGCATCCACATCTACAAAGTACTCTCCAGCTAAGCTATGCAAATCAGGAATCTTCTGTGATGACAGACCTTCTGTTCTCAGTTTAAACTCTTCCAGTGAAGTGAAGTGGTGACTACCTCAAAATTGTCATTTCACTGATGGAAAGACCTAATTGCTACATATTTCTCATGAATAGTGACCCAGAATCTGCTTCCTTGTAACTTTCACTTACTGGGCTGCAAAACATAAGCTGAATTGTCCTTTACTATAACAGGCATTCAAGAATTAAAAAAAAATGACTTGACTCCCACATGAGGATATTTCTCCTGTAGTCTATCCCAATCTCTTCTCAATTTTCATTAAAAGATGATTAATGGGTACAAATATATGGTTTGAAAGAAGAAAGAAAGCCTAGTGCTATTCTGGGCATGGTGGCTCACACCTGTAATAGCAGCCCCTTGGGAGGCCGAGGAGGGTGGATCAACTGAGGTCAGGAGTTCGAGACCAGCCTGGCCAACATGGTGAAACCTGTCTCTACTAAAAATACAAAAATTAGCCAGGTATGGTGTTGTGCACCTATAATCCCAGCTACTTGGGAGGCTGAGGCAGAATTGCTTGAACCTGAAAGGTGGAGGTTGCAGTGAGCCGAGATTGCCCCAGGGCACTCCAGCCTGGGCAACAAAGCAAGACTCCATCTCAAGAAAAAACAAACAAACAAATAAATAAATAAATAAACAAGCTTAGTGCTGGATAGATCAGTAAGGTGATGAAAGTTTGCAATAATCTATTGTACCTACCAAAATAGCAACAGAATAATAATTTGAATGTTTCTAACATAAAGAAAATAAAAATATTAAAGATGATGATATCCCAAGTACACTGACTTGACCTTTACAAATTATATGAATTATTAAATTATCGCATGTACCCTGAAACTATGTATACCTATTATACATCAGTAAAAATAAAATGACTAAAAAACATAATTTTCAGAAACATTTTCTTCCAAATTCTCTAGCAATACTTTTTAAATATTATGTATGGAACTATACCCAGTATTTCAGCCATGATCTTATGAATGAGACCGACAGTAGGACCCTTTCCTTTGTGCACTTTTTTTATTTCTATAAATAATATGCAAAATTGCATTAATATATAATATAGTAAAACCTGCATTATATTTTGTCTCATATTGAGCTTTTCAACTAAAGCTACAGCAAGATATTTAATAAATATCATATTTTAAATATATCTCCCCTAGTCTATAATGCAGCTGATTTTTTAAACCTAATGAAGCATTTTATATTTATTCCCAATTAAATTATATTTGGTTCATACTTTCAACTTGTTCCTCTCTCTTTGGATTCTAACGCTTATCCAATTTATTGACTTTACCTTCTGGCTTCCTGTCACTCTAAAATGTAAACAACGAGTTATATTCTCATTCAAGTTGTTACAGGACAGGGACCCTGATCCAGGGCCCAAGAGAGGGTTCTTGGATCTTGCGCAAGAAAGAATTCAGGGCGAGTCCGCAGTGCAAAGTGAAAGTAAGTTTATTGAGAAAGTAAAGGAATTAAAGAATGGCTACTCCATAGACGGAGCAGCCCTGAGGGCTGCTGATTGCCCATTTTTATGGTTATTTCTTGATAATACGCTAAACAAGGGGTGGATTATTTATGCCTTCCCTTTTTAGACCATACAGGATAACTTCCTCATGTTGCTATGGCATTTGTAAACTGTCGTGGCGCTGGCAGGAGTGTAGCAGTGAGGACGACCAGTTATCACTCTCGTGGCCATTTTGGTTTTGGTGGGTTTTGGCCAGTTCCTTTACTGCAACCTGTTTTATCAGGAAGGTCTTTACGACCTGTATTTTCTGCTGACCTCTTATCTCATCCTGTGACTTAGAACGCCTTAACCATCTGGGAATGCAGCCCAGTAGCTTTCAGCCTCATTTTACCCAGCCCCTGTTTAAGATGGAGTTGCTCTAGTTCACACACCTCTGGCAAAGTCATTAATAAAAAATAGTAAAATGGACGTCAGAGCCTAGAAATACCTCTTAGAGAGACGGTTTAAAGCTGACACTGATACAGTAGCCAATATTCCTGAAGTATGTTTTACTATTTGTGAACTCCAGTATTTCCATACATTTCACCACCTTCAGTTAAACCCACTAAACACTTACTAGCCTCTACTGTGTGCCAGTAAATACAAACATACTAGAATCTGTTCTCTGTCCTCAAGAGGCTCACAGTCTAATGGGGAAATGATCATGCTGGAAATAAATAGCAGTTATGGACCCTACAATACAAATGGACTTGGAGTCCAAAACAAGCTCAAAAAGGAGCACCAGAAGCTACCCAGAATTGTCGAAGAAATTTCAAAAAAAGAGTATGAGGTGTTTTTTTTTCCCTTATCCCTTCCCCTACCACTTTTTTGAGTTGTCTCAAGAATGTGCAAAAGTAGATGATGACTGTAGTCTTGATAGGAAGGGTGGTGTAGATGGAAAAGATTGATTCTGTGTAGGTTCAACCAAATATAGGCCCATTTCACATGATTATCTTCCCTCTAGGTCCTAGATGTCTTATCCTCTAGCTCTGAGGCTTATAAGAGTCATAAGCGTTAAAGGGGAAGTTGTCTAGTTGGGTGAAGTATATATGTGTGAAAGGAAAATATACTGGACTCCCAACATCACTAAGCTAAAAGGAAAATTCAAGCTGGAAACTGCTCAGGGCAAACCTGCCTCCCATTCTATTCAAAGTCATCCCTCTGCTCACAGAGATAGATGCATATTCTCATTGCCTCCTTTGCAAAGGCTTATCACAAACTCAAAAGAATGCAACCATTTGTCTCTCACGTACCTGTGACCTGGAAGAACTATCCCTGCTTTGAGTTTTCCTACCTTTCTGGAGAGAATCAATGTACTTCTTACATATATTGATTGATGTTTCATGTCTCCTTAAAATGTATAAAATAAAGGTGTGCCCCAACCACCCTGAGCATAAGTCATTAAGACTTCCTGAAACTGTGTCATGGGCGTGTGTCCTCAACCTTGGCAAAATAAACTTTCTAAATTAACTAAGACCTATCTCAGATTTTCTGGGTCCACATATGGCACCAATAGGCATCAACCAGACATCACTGGTTGGGCTGGGCTATCAGAGGAACATATTGCTGTTGAAAGGAAGTCACAAAGGACAATGGACAGGTCATGTAGCGATTCCACACCACAGGTGTTGTATGGCGTTCTCTAGCTCTAACTCCCTCATCCCAGGCCTGTACAGTTAATAGGCTAGTCTCTAGGAAGGAAAGCTTTATGTTTCTACATCACGGTGTTTTTTTAAACCTTTTTTCTAGCCAAGAGTCCTTTTTGCTTCCCTGAAGACTTCAGACTTGAAATCCAAAGCCAACCACAGACTATTTTCTTCACTGTTTTTTGATGCATCATCACTTACTTACAGCAATATTTGCACACAACCTATCTGACTCAAGGAAGGCCAAGTTCGGAAAGGAAAAAAGAAAAATGTTGGTTATTATTTCGAAAGTATTATTCTACCTCAGATGACAGGCAATCAGCAGACAGACGAGGAGATAGAGAGAACATTCCAGAGAGAGTACAGCATTACAAAATGCATGAGAAAACCTATCTTATGAACACTTCGTCCAATATCTTACTAAAATTCTGATTTTTTTCCTTGTTTTCTCTAACCTGCTTCAGAGAAAGAAAAGTCTTGATTTTTTTCTAATGAATTTCTCTAATCAAATCATTCAATGACAAAATCCAAGCAAAGGAAATTAGATTAGTCTAGCCAGACTGTGATTTGCAACTCATTGTTTTCAGTAATTTCATTTTCCTTCCAGAATGCTCACAATCCATCTCTAAATACTTTGATTCTGAATTTGGGGAGGGATTGATGTCTTCTTCATTGATGTGTTCTTTTCAGAATTTATCTCATTCCCCTTTTTAGAAAGTAGTGATTTTCTCATTTTAAACATCCAGCACCTTTTTCATTCCCAGCAACTCTTTAAAAAAGTAAAAATTTAACATATTTATTGAGCACTTACTATGTTGCAGACACTGTCCTAAGTGTTTACATCTATAAAAATTCAGGTTGGTAACCATGCCTTTTTGCCTTTTTCAATCTAAAGGCCATTTCCTTGATGTAGGAGATGGAAGAAGAATAGATATTCAATCATTCTCTTTCCTTTAACCAGCCAACTGCACACTGTCTACCCAAGCATTGAATCCATCCTTTTCTTGTTCTTCTTTCTTTAAATATGACATAGGTAAAACTGCATTTTCTGTGGCACAGTTCACAAGCTGCACTGGACTCTTCATAGTTTTGCAAGTTTGTTTCCCTCTTTGTTATCCACCCTTAATTTACATCACTACCTGTGTGTTCCACATATGAGCTCTTTAAAATCCAAGCTATAAACTAAATGTCCATTACTAGAGGGAAATGTAAAATTAATTAAAGTTTAAATTAATTATGGTGTGTTCATTACATAAAATAGTTCACAACCATAACAAAGAATGAAGTTCATCTATATGTTCTGACATAGGAAAATTTCTATGATATATTGTCAGATGAGGAAAAGTCGGAAAACAATACATAGCTAAATCCTGGTTGAGATTTTTAAATCATATATTTAATAGAAGTAGTATCTTACAAACATTTTATCATGAAATTTCAAGATTCCTCCTTAAAACATTGATCCCATGCAAGACTTGGGGGACTAGTCACTGAACAAAGTTTCATGAAAGGAAAGATCAAACAAGGTGAGAGAAGAAATAATTCAAACTTTTCTAGACTAAGAAATTGTGGAAAGAACAGAGCCAGAGGCCAGCTGAACCGATGGCAGAAAGCACTCAGGAAATTGGCCTGTAGTTTTTTCCAAGATTGAGCCTGGGAGGAAAAAAAATGTCTTCTAATAGTTGAAGGGAGCACCAAGTTTAGAGGATTCTTATCATTCTCATTTTGGATTCTGTGAGGAGACCGCTAGTTAAGCGGGGTCAGCATAGTTAAGAGGGTGGAGTAGCATCAGGGAGAGAGGAGGAGGGATAAAACTCCTGAATCTCCCTTAGTTCTTGTGAAGCAAGGGCACCTTCAGTGGACGTCAATCCCACGAGCCTGAGATGGGGTCCACTGTGATGGTGAGTGAGGTAACTCCTCAACAAAGGCTTGGCCCACAGTCGAGACGGAGGATGTGGCAGAGATGGAGTGGAGAAGTATCAATCACATGCTTCAGAGCCAAGGAGAGGCCTCGCTGAGCAAGGAAACTGTTGGGCCTGAACAGAACAAGAGAGACCAGATCTCAAGTTATGTGGGACACCAACTTTAGGAATCAGGTGGACAGCAACATTCAGTCAGGGAGAGGAGCTACTCCAGTGAACACGTGAATTATGAGAGTGTGAAACAGCCTTATTACTGACATAGAGAAAGTTTCAGTGGTCTGAATAGATCAAACCAGCCACATTTTCTTAAGCCAACGCCTAATTCAGGGTGATGCCCTAACTCTTCAATTCTGTGATGGATGAGAGAAGTGAGAAAGCTGCAGATAAAAGTTAGGAAGTTACAGAGGTTTGTTCATGAGGTTTAAGGAAAGAAGCCATCTTCATAACATAAGTGCAAGGTGAAGCAACAAATGCTGATGTGGAAGCTACAGCAAGCTATTCAGAAGATCTAGCTCAGATCATTAATGAAGGTGGCTCTACTAAACAATATATTTTCTGTTTTTGTTTTTTGGTTTGTCTGTTTTTGAGATGGAGTCTTGCTCTGTCACCCAGGCTGGAGTGCAGTGGAGCGATCTTGGCTCACCGTTACCTCCGCCTCCCAGGTTCAAGAGATTCTCCTGCCTCGGCCTCCCAAGTAGCTGGGACTACAGGTGCACACCACCATGCCCGTCTAATTTTTTGTATTTTTGTAGAGACGGGGTTTCACCATGTTGCCAAGGCTGGTCTCAAACTCCTGACCTCAAGTGATCCACCCACCTTGGCCTCCCAAAGTGCTGGGATTACAGGCGTGAGCCACTGCACCTGGCCACAACATATTTTCAATGTAAACAAAGCAGCCCTATATTGAAAGAAGATATCATCTAGGCTGGCTTCAAAGCTTCAAAGGGCAGGCTGACTCTTGTTAGGGGCTAATGTAGCTGGTTACTTTAAGTTGAAACTAATGATCACTTATAATTCCAAAGTCTTAGAGCCCTTAAGAATTATGCTAAATCTACTGTGCCTGTCTTCTATAAATGAATCAACAAAGGCTTGATGACAGCATATCTGTTTACAGTATGGCTTACTGAACGTTTTAAGCCTGCTGTTGAGACCTACTGCTCAGAGAAAAACATTCCTTTCAAAATATTACTGCTTATTTACAAGGTACCTAGTCACTCAAGAACTCTGAGATATAAAAAGAAATTAATTTATTTTCATGCCTGCTAACAGGCATCCATTCTGCAGTCCATGGATCAGGGAATAATTTCTACCTCAAGTATTATTATTTAAGAAATACATTTCATAATCTGTATACACCAAACCCCCATGCCATGCAAGAACATTCATGATTCATGTGAGGAGCTCAAAATATCAACATTAACAGGCGTTTGGAAGAAGTTGGCTCCAAACCTTCATGAATAACTTTGAGATCAAGACTTCCATGGAAAAGAAACTGAAGATGTGGTGGAAAAACCAAGAAAACTAGAAGTGAAGCCTGAAGATGTGATTGAATTGCTGTAATCTTGTGATGAAACATGGATAGATGAGGAGCTGCTTCTTATGGATGAGCAATGAAAGTAGTTTCTTGAGATGGAAACTATTCCTGGTGAAGATGCTGTGAATATTGTTGAAATGACAACAAGGGATTTAGAATATTATATAAACTTAGTTGATAAAGCATTGGCAGGATTTGGGAGGATTGACTTCAATTTTTTTAAAAAAGTTCTATCAAACAGCATCACATGCTACAGAGAAAGCTTTCATGAAAGGTAGTATCAATTGTTGCAGCAAACTTCATTATCATCTTATTTTTAAAAATTGCCACAGCTACTCCAATCTGTTGCAACCATCACCTGGTCAGTCAGGAGCCACTCATATCGAGGCAAGACCCTATGGCCACAAAAAGATTATGACTTGCTGAAAACGCAGATGATGGTCAGCATCTTTTAGCAATAAAATGTTTTTAATTAACGTATGTACATTTTTAGACATAATGCTATCGCACACTTAATAGATTAAACTATTGTGTAAACATAAGTTTTATATGCACTGGAAAAACCAAAACATTTATGTGACTCACTTTATTGTGACATTCACTTCAGTGCTGTGGTCTGCAATCAATCCCATAATATCTCTGAGGTATTCTCTACATGCTGCAAGGTAATATATTGTTGTTTTTGTGTGTCATGTATTATCCTTATTGGTACCAAGTTTCTGAGTATTTGTCACCTTCCTTTGCTTAAGCCACTAAATATTCAAATTAAATATGTTCTTCTTTGTCTTTATAGTGTGACTGTTTCACGCCCCCACCCCCCACCCCCAGAGATCACTATTATGCTATTATGAAATCACAAAGCAGAAAAAATGCACCTTATTCTTCAATAGAATCTATGACAACAGGTGTCAACAGGTATTCAGGGTCTACCTTCCTTTTCTTCCTTTTCCTCCTTCTCTATTCTCCTTTTTTGTCTCCCAAAGTTGTCACCTTCTACTAGAGGAAGAGCCGAATCCATCCAAAGTCTTTGGTCTTCTCTCCAAAACTTTGCAGCCCCCTAGAGATATATACATTCCAATTCCTTCTGGTGACAGCAGACTGCCCCACATGGGTCAGCAGCAAAAGGCCATAAGTTTGATGAGCTTGATTACTCTTTGAAAGGTCTCCTCTGGCTTCAAAAACTGTATCCTCTCTCTTTCTCTCTCATTCATGCAAACAAACCCTTTCAAGGATAATTCTGTCTCAGTGCTGTGTTAGGCGGCATATGGAGAAAAGTATTGAGAAAGCAGGCAGATCCCAACATGGGACTTCAGGAGATTTAGCATCATTCATAGAAAGTCTGAGTGTTCTCTGAAAAAGAAACTCACCTTGTAAAGACAAAGCATAATGAATGTATTGAAATATTTAGTTGCTTAAGCAAAAGAAGGTGACAAATACTCGGAAACTTGATACCAAAAAAGATAATACATGACATACAAAAAAAGTGGCATATGGATCTGTGATGTCTGTTAATGTGTGTTTTTTCTTAACTTTATCCATGAACATCCAGCTTTCCTTTAAGTTCAGGGCTTAGTTAATAACCAAGCTGCTCCACCAATCTGTTAGCAGCCACCCGAACCACAAGCTAACTTTTTAGGAGGAATTTAGGAGGCATACGAGAGTTAGCATTACAAACCCACACAAACAGTAAGGTAATATTGCTACTGTGTGAATTCCTTCCAAAGGATTTAGAAACAATATGTTCATCAACTTACAGATGGTCAAATAGGAGGAGTAGATAAAGCAATACAGCACCCAGGGAATTAACCATATCCAGTGATCACCAGCACTCAGTGATCACTACCCATTTGTTTTGTAATGTTTTATGATGTATGATCTAACCCTGATGCCAGAAAATAAAACAATAGCAACATACTAAACACCATAATATACGGTAATAATAACAGCTACTATTTGTTGATCAGTTACTGCATGCTAAGCACTGGACAAGTATGTTATAAAAATTGTCTCAATTATTCTTTGCAGCACTCCTATAAGATAGGTATTATGATTATCTTCATTTAATAGAGGTTGAGTAATTCACCCTAAAACAGTTATTATTCTTCATTTTCCAGATAAGATAAATGACATTTACTGAAGTAATTTAATCAATATAAGTGAATAAGTGAGTGGCAGAATAGGAAATTCACATCTAGGTGTATGTGGGCTCAGAAACAGAACACCTAACCACTCTCAGATTGTTACCAAATGAATAGGGCATAAGAAGGGGAAGCGAGCCTTTCATTTTTATGCAGCAATGAAATTGAAACCAAAAATAGATATGGCCAAGGATGTCCACAACGCCATACTCTGTCAACTCTAGGATCAGCAATAGCACTGATGAGCTGTGAAAAGAGAAAGATGATTATATAGAATATATCATATAATAGCATTATACAATTCAATACATCATTGGATTAAATGACATATAAAATACCATTATATGTCATATTCATATATGACGTATGTATTATACATTATGTATTATATTAATAGTATATTATATATTATTCATAATACATTATTGTATTAGTCCATTCTTGCTTTGCTATTAAGAAAACCTGAGAATGGATGATTTATAAAGAAAAGAGGTTTAATTGGCTCACAGTTTTGCAGGCTATACAGGAAGCATGGTGCTGACATCTGCTCAGCTTCTGGGGAGGCCTCAGGAAGCTTACAGTTATGACAGAATGTTAAGGAGTAACAGGCACGTCCCATGGTGAAAGCAGGAGCAAGAGAGCGAGAGGGGTGCTACACGCTTCTAAATGACCAGACCTCATGAGAACTCACTCACTATCATGAGTACAGTACCAAGAGGGATGGTACTAAACCATTTGTGAAGAATCTATCTCCATGATCCAATCACCCCCCACCAGGCCCCACCTCTAACATTGGGGATTACGTTTCAATATGAGATTTGGGCAGGAACAAATATCCAAACTGTATCAATTATGTGTTATAGTATACTATATATTACATATTGTAGCATATTATGTAAGTCCAACTGAGGGCTGTGATATTCAACTCTCACAGATGGCAGTTTCATGCCCTCAACAGAAGATAAACAACACAGAGATAGAAGTTAGCTTTCATCTTCTCCACTATTATTCTGCAACAAAAGCATCATATAAATGCAATAAACTCATGTGAATAAACATGTTATATATAACTTGAATGTGCATTTACACAATGTGAAGAGAAATAAACAAGCAAATTTGCTTATTAATCCTGCAAATGGCTGACATGTTTAGCAAAGACTAAACAGACATGCGTTAAAAAGCTAAACATGCATTTCACTGAAAATACTGTACCCATGTCAGAGGCACACACATTTTTTTTAATATACTTTAAGTTCTGGGATACATATGCAGAATGTGCAGGTTTGTTACATAGGTATACACGTGCCATGGTGGTTTGTTGCACCCATCAACCCATCATCTACATTAGGTATTTCTCCTAATGCTTTCCCTCCTCTAGCCCCCCACTGCTCAACAGGCCCTGGTGTGTGATGTTACACTCCCTGTGTCCATATGTTCTCATGGTTCAACTTGCACTTAAGAGCGAGAACACATGGTGTTTGGTTTTCTGTTCCTGTGTTAGTCTGCTGAGAATGACGGTTTCCAGCTCCAACCATGTCCCTGCAAAGAACATGAACTCATCCTTTTTTATGACTGCATAGTATTTCATGGTGTACAGGTGCCACATTTTCTTTATCCAGTCTACTATTGATGGGCATTTGGGTTGGTTCTCAGTCTTTGCTATTCTGAAGAGTGCTGCAATAAACATACATGTGCATGTGTCTTTATAGTAGAATGATTTATAATCCTTTGGGTATGTACCCAGTAATGGGATTGCTGGGTCAGGTGGTATTTCTGGTTCTAGATCCTTGAGGAATCCCCACACTGTCTTCCACAATGGTTGAACTAATTTACACTCCCACCAACAGTGTAAAAGTATTCCTATTTCTCCACATCCTCTCCAGCATTTGTTGTTGCCTGACTTTTTAATGATCATCATTCTAACTGGCATGAGATGGTATCTCATTGTGGTTTTGATTTGCAATTCTCTAAGGACCAGTAATGATGAGCCTTTTTTCATATGTTTGTTAGCCACATAAATGTCTTCTTTTGAGAAGTATCTGTTCACATAGCTTGATGGGGATAGCATTGAATCTATAAATTACTTTAGGCAGTATGGCCATTTTCACAATATTGGTTCTTCCTATTCATGAGCATGGAATGTTTTTCCACTTGTTTGTGTCCTCTCTTATTTCCTTGAGCAGTGGTTTGTAGTTCTCCTTGAAGAGGTCCTTCACATCCCTTGTTAGTTGTATTCCTAGATATTTTATTCTCTTTGTAACAATTGTGAATGGGAGTTCACTCATGATTTGGCTCTCTGTTTGTCTATTGTTGGTGGATAGGAATGCTTGTGATTTTTGCACATTGATTTTTTATCCTGAGACTTTGCTGAAGTTGCTTATCAGCTTAAGGAGATTTTGGGATGAGACAATGGGGTTTTCTAAATATACAATCATGTCATCTGCAAACACAGACAATTTGACTTCCTCTCTTCCTATTGGAATACCCTTTATTTCTTTCTCTTGCCTGATTGCCCTGGCCAGAACTTCCAATACTATATTGAATAGGAGTGATGAGAGAGGGCATCCTTATCTTGTACAAGTTTTCAAAGGGAATTATTCCAGCTTTTGCCCATTCAGTATGATATTGGCTGTGGGTTTGACATAAATAGCTCTTATTATTTTGAGATAAGTTCCATCAATACCTAGTTTATTGAGAGTTTCAAGCATGAAAGGGTGTTGAATTTTATCAAAGGCCTTTTCTACATCTATTGAGATAATCAGGTGGTTTTTGTCATTGGTTCTGTTTATGTAGTGGATTACATTTATTGATTTGTGTATGTTGAACCAGCCTTGCATCCCAGGGATGAAGCAGACTTGATTGTGGTGGACAACTTTTTCAATGTGCTGCTGGATTCAGTTTGCCAGTATTTTATTGAGGATTTTCGCATCAATGTTCATCAGGGATATTGTCCTGAATTTTTCTTTTTTTTTGTTCTGTCTTTGCCATGTTTTGGTATCAGGATGATGCTGGCCTCATAAAATGAGTTAGGGAGGATTCCCTATTTTTCTATTGTTTGGAATAGTTTCAGAAGCAATGATACCAGCTCCTCTTTGTACCTCTGGTAGAATTCGGCTGTGAATCCATATGGTCCTGGACTTTTTTTGGTTGGCAGGCTATTAATTACTGCCTCAATTTCAGAACTTGTTATTGGTCTATTCAGGGATTCAACTTCTTCCTGGTTTAGTCTTGGGAGGGTGTATGTGTCCAAGAATTTATCCATTTCTTCTAGATTTTCCAGTTTATTTGCATAGAGGTGTTTATATCATTCTCTGATAGTAGTTTGTATTTCTGTGGGATCAGTGGTGATAACCCCCTTATCATTTTTTATTGTGTCTATTTGATTCTTCTCTCTTTTCTCCTTTATTAGTCTGGCAAGCAGTCTATTTTATTGATCATTTTGAAAAACCAGCTCCTGGATTCATTGACTTTTTGAAGGGTTTTTCCTGTCTCTATCTCCTTCAATTCTGCTCTGATCTTAGTTATTACTTGTCTTCTGCTAGCTTTTGAATTTGTTTGCCCTTGCTTCTCTAGTTCTTTTAATTGTGATGTTAGGGTGTCCATTTTAGATCTTTCCCACTTTCTTCTGTGAGAATTTAGTCCTATAAATTTTCCTCAAGCCAAACTAAGCTTCATAAGCGAACAAGAAATAAAATCCTTTACAGACAAGCAAATGCTGAGAGATTTTTTCATCCCCAGGCCTGCCTTACAAGAGCTCCTGAAGGAATCACTAAATATGGAAAGTAAAAGCTGGTACCAGCCACTGCAAAAACATACCAAATTGTAAAGACTATTGACACTATGAAGAAACTGCATCAACTAACAGGCAAAATAATCAGCTAGCATATTAATGACAGGATCAAATTCACACATAACAATATTACCTTTAACTGTAAATGGGCTAAATGCCCCTATTGAAAGACACAGACTGGCAAATTGGATAAAGAGCCAAGACCCATTGGTGTGCTGTATTCAAGAGACCCATCTCATGTGCAAAGACACAAATAGGCTCAAAATAAAGGGATGAAGGAATATTTACCAAGCAAATGGAAAGCCAAAAAAAAGCCGTGGTTGCAATCCTAGTCTCTGGTAAAACAGACTTTAAACCAACAGAGATCAAAAAAGGACAAAGAAGGGCATTACATAATGGTAAAGGGATCAATGCAACAAGAAGAGCTAACTATCCTAAATATATATGCACCCAATACAGGAGCACCCAGATGCATAAAACAGGTTCTTAGAGACCTACAATGAGACTTATGCTCCCACACAATAATAGTTAGAGACTTTAAAACCCCACTGTCACTATTAGATCAACAACACAGAAAATTAACAAGGATAGTCAGGACTTGAACTCAGCTCTGGATGAAGCGGACCTAATAGACATCTACAGAACTCTCCACCCCAAATCAACAGAATATACATTCTTCTCAGCACCACATTGAAGTTATTCTAAAATTGACCACATAATTGGAAATAAAACACTCCTCAGCAAATGCAAAAGAACAGAAATCGTAACAGTCTCTCAGACCAGAGTGCAATCAAATTAGAAGCTGTCAGGATTAAGAAACTCACTCAAAACTGCACAACTACATGGAAACTGAACAACCTGTTCCTGAATGACTACTGGGTAAATAACGAAATTCAGGCAGAAATAAAGATGTTCTTTGAAACCAGTGAGAATAAAGGCACAACACCTTTTTAGCATCGTGGCAAACAAGAATTGGGGTAGGGCTTTTCCAGGTTTGGTTAGGAAACAGCACTTCCCTTTGAAGAATTTCTCTACATGTGTCATCAGTCTTGTTTTAACCTGATTCCTCAAATCCTGTTTAACAATATTTTGATAACTTTTATTTCAACTTATGGTCATTAAGTAGAAAAGGCTGTAAGTAAAGAATTTGGTAAGTTTATTAATTTTTCCTGCTTTGGTACTTTAATTTATAGGATACAATTTTAACTTGAACTGTGATTCCTGACAAAAGCAGTGCCCATGAGTAAATGAAAACAATTTTGAATAGCATGTGACAGGCATTGTAAAAAGAGTTTCTATGGTATTGAGGTGGAGGGTGGAAAACAGAGTGGGGAAGTCAGGTTCTATCTGAAATTTCAAACACACTGAAACTTAGAACCATGTTTGTTTTAAGTTACAATACCAGAAGAGGAATTTGAACAAGATCATAAAAATTCCTTAATTTGCTCATCAACCAAAAAGGTATGAATAGATTGAATAAGACAGTGACAGATTAATATAGAAATAGCATCCTCTCCACAAACTGGCCCAGCCTACTCAACCAGTGCCAGCTCCTCCCACTATCCTATGTTACAGCTACATCAACTATGGAAATGCACAAATGTGCTATACTCTCACCCTTCTGTACTTTCACACAGGCTGTTTGTCCCTGGATACCTTTATCCACATTTTTACTTGGAAAAATATAACTCACCTTTTAGGGCCAGGATCAACTATTACTTCATCTATTAACAAACTGTCTTCTGTGCTTCCATAGGTCTTTGTAGATATATCTCTGTATTAGTCTGTTTTCATGCTGCTGATAAAGACATACCTGAGATTGGGAAGAAAAAGAGGTTTCCTCCCAGATGGCTGAGGAAGCCTCAGAATCATGGTGGGAGGTGAAAGGCACTTCTTACATGGTGGTGGCAAGAGAAAATGAGGAAGAAGCAAAAGCAGAAACCCCTAATAAACCCATCAGATCTCGTGAGACTTATTCACTATCATGAGAATAGCATGGGAAAGACTGGCCCCCATGATTCAATTACCTCCCCCGGGTCCCTCCCACAATACATGGGAATTCTGGGAGATACAACTCAAGCTGATATTTGAGTGGAGACACAGCCAAACCATATCAATCTCTGATAGTATTCACCACATAATGTTATACGCACTCAACTACTCATTGCAGGCCTCTAGATTCAATAGCTATACCCAGATGGCACACAAACAGACACAATCTAGCATCATTCTGTCTGGATACTTAAAAATGACTTAAAGGCATTGATAAGCAGCCAAATATTAACACAAGATTTCTGGGAGTATAGCGTCATACATAAAAACACTGGTTATTTCCTGAAGAAAAGAATTGACTCTTGGTTACCTGTTAGACATGCTCAAATGTGAAGAAAACATCTTATTTATTTTGTACACTCATCACTGGACCTGGTGTCTTGCATACAGAAGGTAGTCAGTGAGTGTGGGGTGAATGAACTTCGGGAGGTGAAATCATGATGTGAGAACTGTGCTCTCACAGTTCCAAATAAGGAAACATGGGGCAGATCAATTTTTGGCATGCCTTTGGGTCATTACATAATGACTAAAAATACTTTGCTAAAGTTTTATAAGATAGAGTACCATTCAAAACTCACATGACATTCCCCAGAAGAAAACTGGTACTCACAGAGCAATGAACTTTTTAGACCCACTTGTGTAGAGATAAAGACTCCCAAACTCCCAAAAGAAATAATCATTGTTCTCATAACTTTCTCGAATAGAATTTGATCTATTGAAACTGAATCAAGAGCTGCTAGCTTCCAAGTGAGTGGATATAAGTAACTGCCAGTAATGCCATTATATTGTCCCTTAAAGTAGATGACCAAGACAGAGCTTGAGTTATTACGTACGCAGCAGGAAATAGTGAAATTGATAGATTTCTTTTATCTTCAGTGATGATGATAATAATAATAATGAGCACGTCCTGGGTTCCATCTCCAAGAAAGGCAAATGGATTTCCAGGGTCCTCTCTAAAGAATTAGGAGGTTGAAGCGGAAAAATGAAATATGATACTATCTGAATGATAGTTGAGGAAATATTACTTAGCACAAAGGCATTAGGAATGAGACCAATTTCCTAGGCTGTTGTTTTTCTTCTGCAGGTTATTCTTGCTCCCTGTTCTCAGAAAATCTTTAAGCTCCATCTAAGAATATCCATACTTTAAAATCCCCAGCCTTTAAGTTACTCCCTGATCTCCCCCATCTCGCCTTCACTTGGGAGAAAGAGGAGAAATAAATCAGCTCTGCACCTAGACTTGGTGAACATCTCCACTCAAAAGAAACAGACAGGTGGATCACGAGGTCAGGAGTTCACCAACCAGCCTGTAGTAGAAACCCGTCTCTACTACAAATACAAAAATTAGCCATGCATGGTGGTGTGTGCCTGTAATCCCAGCTACTTTGGAGGCTGAGGCAGGAGAATTACTTAAATCTGGGGGGCAGAAGTTGCAGTGAGCCAAGGTCATGCCACTGCACTCCAGCCTGGGCAAGACAGCAAGACTCTGTCTCAGAAAATAAAAAAGAAAAAGAAAGAAAAGAAAAAAGAAACAGCTCAGCTTGACTACTGTCCTTCCCCTTTAGACCACAGAATCCTTTGCTTTCTAAGCCCTGAACTACGACTTGAATAACACTCCATGAGTATATGGTAAAATTTTTAATTGTCTTTCCAAGAAGGATGTGATGGTGCTTGTGCTGGCTTCCTTTTGTGTCCAAACATTAGTTATCTTCTCTACTTCTTGCTGTTAGTCACAACTTTCTCTCCAGAACTATGAAAAGAAGCTAAATTAGCTGTCAGGAATCCCCAGTTCCAGTCTAAACAATGCTACAAACTATTATAGCTAGTAAACCATTTAATATTTTAATAGCACTTTCAAACCTTATAAAGCCACCATTTAATTTTTTTAACTTGTATTTTAGGTTTTGGGGTATATGTGAAGGTTTGTTACATAAGTAAACTCATGTTATGGGGTGTATTAGTCCGTTTTCACACTACTATAAAGAATAAATGAGACTGGGTAATTTATAAACAAAAGAAGTTTAATTTACTCACAGTTCTACATGTCTGGGGAGGCCTCAGGAAACTTACAATCATGGTGGAAGGTAAAGGGAAAGCAGGCAACTTCTTCACAAGGTGACAGGAGAGAGGAGAGAGCAGGGGAAACCACCATTTATAAAACCATCAGATCTCACGAGAACTCACTCACTATCATGAGAACAGCATGGGGGAGACCACCCCCATGATCCAATCACCTCCCACCAGGTCCCTCCCTTGACACATGGGGATTACAATTTGAATTACAATTAGAGATGAGATTTGGGTGGGGACACAGAGTCAAACCATATCACAGGGGTTCCTTATACAGATTATTTCATCACCCAGGAATTAAACCCAGTACCTGATAGTTATCCCTTCTGCTCCTCTCCCTCCTCCAACCCTCCACCCTGAAGTAGACCCCAGTTTCTGTTGTTTCCTTCTTTGTGTTCATAAGTTCTCATTATTTAGCTCCCACTTATAAGTGAGAACACGCAGTATTTGGTTTTTTGTTTCTGTGTCAGTTTGCTGAGGATAATAGCCTCCAGCTTGATCCGTGTTCCCACAAAAGACAGGATCTCATTCTTTTTATGGCTGTGTGGTATTCCATGGTGTATATGTACCACATTTTCTTTATCCAATCTATCATTGATAGGCATTTACCTTGATTCCATGACTTTGCTGTTGTGAATAGTGCTGCATGAACATTTGCATGAATGTGTCTTTATGGTAGAATGATGTATATTCCTCTGGATATATACCCATTAACAGGATTACTAGGTCGAATGGTAGTTCTGCTTTTAGCTCTTTGAAGAAATGCCATACTGCTACCCACAATGGTTGAACTAATTTACATTCCCAACCAACAGTGTATGTTTCCTTTTCTCTGCAACCTCGCCAGCATCTGTTATTTTTTGACTTTTTAATAGTGGCATTTCTGACTGGTGTGAGATGGTATCTCATTGTAGTTCTGATTTGCATTTTATCTAATGATCAGTGATATTGAGGTTTTTTCATATGTTTATTGGTCGCATATATGTCTTCTGAAAAGTGTTCATATCCTTTGCCTACTTTTTAATGGGGTTGTTTTTCTCTTATAAATTTGCTTAAGTTCCTTATATTAATAGATGTTGGATATTAGACCTTTGTCCAATGCATAATTTGCAAATATTTTCTCCCATTCTGTAGGTTGTCTGCTAACTCTGTTGATAGTTTCTTTTGTGGTGCAGAAGCTCTTAAGTTTAATTCAATTCCACTTGTCAATTTTTGCTCTTCTTCTGATTGCTTTCAGTGTCTTTGTCAAAATTTTTACCTGTTTCTCTGTCCAGGATGGTACTGCCTAGATTGTCTTTCAGGGTTTTTATAGTCTGGGGGTTTTACACTTCAGTCTTTAATCCATCTTGAGTTTATTTTGGGATATGGTGTAAGAAAGAGGTCCAGCTTCAGTTATGGTTAGCCAGTTATCCCAGCACCATTTATTGACTAGAGAGTCTTTTCCCCATTGCTTGTTTTTGTCAGCTTTGTCAAAGATCAGGTGGTCATAGGTGTGTGGCCTTATTTCTGGGTTCTCTATTCTGTTTCATTGGTCTGTGTGCCTGTTTTTGTACCAGTATCATGATGCTTTAGCTACTGTAGCCCTGTAGTATAGTTTGAACTCAGGTAACATGATGCCTCCAGCTTCTTTCTTTTTGCTTAGGATTGCCTTTGTTATTCGGGCTGGTTTTTGGTACTATGTGAATTTTAAAATAGTTTTTTCTAGTTCTGTGAAGAATGTCATTGGTAATTTAATAGGAATGGCATTGAATATGTAAATTGCTTTGGGCAGTATGCCCATTTTAATGCTATTGATTCTTCCTACCCATGAGCATAGAATGTTTTTCCATTTGCTTGTGTCATCTCTAATTTCTTTGAGCAGTGTTTTGTAATTCTCATCATAGAGATCTATAACCTCCCTGGTTAGCTGTATTCCTAGGTATTTTATTCTTTTTGCAGCAATTCTGAATGGGATTGCCTTTTTGATTTGACTCTAGGTTTGGCTGTTGTTGGTATACAGGAATGCTAGTGATTTTTGTACATTGATTTTGTATCCTGAAACTTTGCTGAAGTTGTTTATCAACTGAAGGACCTTTTGGGCCAAGACTATGGGGTTTTCTAGATATAGAATCGTGTCATCTACAAATAGAGATAGTTTCACTTCCTCTCTTCGTATCTGAATGGGCTTTATTTCTTTCTCTTGCCTGATTGCTCTGGCTAGGACTTCAATGCTATGTTGAATAGGAATGGTGATGGCATTCGTGTCTTGACACCACTTAATTTGATCCTCCCAACATTCTTAAGAGACAATATGGAGGTGGTTGCCATCTAGGAAATGAAGAAATGTAACAAGAGGTTATGTATGCAGAAGAAGCTTAAAATTCTGAGGATTTTAATGTCATTGAGATAAGCAGCAGTTGTTGTCCTTACAGAGTAGAAGGTCCAAGGTCATTCTGTACTAGGCTGCTGTCCCTCTTTTTTGTTTCCCATGATGCTGTTATCAATCTAATATGTTTCCCATTCTTTCATGATACATTACCTTCTTCATAGTGAATCTAATTTTTTTTATCATCCCAATATTTGGTATGTAGTCCTACATATTGGTATTAGATGTAGATGTGGGGGAAGAACTTAGGATTTAAAAGCCAAGAATCCAGATAGAAGCCTTCAAATGTTAATTGATCTATGTGTATCGACATCCAAGAATCACCAAATGAGAACATTCAGAGAAACATTTTCAAGCAAGAATAATGATCGAATCTGAAATTTTCCTCTGCCTGGCTCTCATTAGAACTGTGTTTTAGGTGATGAGGGTTGTGATGGGAATCCGAAGGACTGGACAACAAGGGATATTGTGACATGAAAGGGAGCCTTAACCTTCATCTATGTTTACATTCAAAATGCCAACAAGTATTAGGAATTTTGTTCTGGAAGTCACATTTGGCTTTTGAGTATTCCACATTGCTTCCACAACCCAGGAAGGCCAGGTCATAGGGGAAGGGTGCTGGTATCAAAGTTATTTACCTAATTCACAGAGATTGTTTCAGTCATAGTTGGTACTTGAACCTCGATCTTTTGATCCCAATGTTTTTCTGCTTAGTTTCTCTGAGTCTCAGGTTCCCCATCTGCTAAATGAAAGGTTGAAGTAGATGCTATCTAAGATTGTTAACAGCTCTAATTCTATGATTTATCTTCCTTTTAGCAGTATCCCAACCTAGCTCAGACCCATCCCTTATTACTGCAAACACTAACATTCCCTTCCAAATCACTCCCACTCTCTTCCAATACAAGATGAATTAAACAGGAACCAAATTTCCCTGCTCAGGACTTAATGACAGCTTAAAACTAAAAGTCTCAGTGAGAAATCACATGCACTAGTCCTATTGTGGGTGAAAGATCATTATGTTTGTTTACTTCGGGCCAGACAAGACTCTCTTTAAAGTTTAATTACCAAAGAATCAGACAACTTCTTCTATATATTGAATGCCTGAGTTAACATGACATTTGTTTTGCCATCGTTCAAACTCAATTTATTTTCTACCTTTCTTTTTCCTTTCCAGTGCCACCCTGGTGACTTATCTCACACTATTTGAAAAATCTCTATACTTCTCAAGCAAGGTCAGAAAGCTGGTTGGAAACTTCTGGTCACCATTGGGTCAAGCATGTGTTGCTTCAGAGAATCACTAATGGCATCTGAAGAAGGAGAAAAGAGTAAGTAATAACTTGACCATTGATTTCAAGGGAAAGGAAAGACAAAAAGAAAGTCAAACCAGAGTAATCAGGAACTAAGAGTGCATCTTGAGAATGCAGTAACTTTAAGAAACATTTGCAACAGGGAGAGTTTACCTGGACACATAGGAGAGGCATGTGTGCTGTACTCCAGAATGGGTGATGGTTTCTGGGAAGAGGTTAAGGACATGCCACTATTCCTGATCCACAACCCAGGCTAGTTTGCTTCCTTCCACAGGCTCGGTCCAGCTACAAGACTCTAACACTAACCCCAACCCTAACTCTCTTCCTATTTGCTTAACTCCCAAGAATGTAAACACTTCCAGGTGATCCCAGGTGCCTTCATTCCCGCTGTCCCCTACAGCACATGCATCTATTTCCCTTTACCATCTTTGGCCCTAAGCTCCCATCACAGAAGTTGCCAGCCATTCACATTAATCACAGTCTATATTTGCTGAGTTCATAGTCAGAATCTCCACCCACTGGGATTCCAAACCAAACACATACACACACACACACACACATCTTAATTCACTAACAAAAGTTAATGGCCATGAATTTTGTCTTGGTAATTAATGACATACCTTGAAAAGAGTATCAATAGGAACAAAACTGCTCCATGCTTCCTTTGTAAGGAGCTCATTAAATTAATTTGGAGGAGGAGCGGGGGCCCAGGGGTGGCATTCTCCATATAAAAATATGCTCAGAAGCTGGCAAGGGGGATGCTTGCCAAGGACAAGGCACAGCAGCCATGGAAATGTGCCACTCAGCTCCCCTTTCAAGAAGAACCTGCTGTGAAAAGTGCAATTAACTGAAAGACCCCAGCCGCATCGCCTTTGTGATCTACTGAAGGGTTTGGACCATGGACATGCTCTCCCTAAGCACAGTGGGTCTCTAGAACCTGGCAATTTCTGCTTATCACAGAGTACTTCTAAAAAGTAATCACTGCCTACAGCTCCCCTTTGGGCTGAGACTTTCTCAGAGTTGCGCTGAAGTCTGAGGATCTACAAACCCAGTGTTCCTCTCCCCACTTCATTCACAGCTATCAGAACTGCATCATGGTCTGAGGACTTTCTCTGACTTTTTCTACACCCTCTTCTCGTTTATCTTCCTGGGCTTCACCTCTCTTTTGTATTTTTAATTCTTCCTGGCTCTGTATCTGCTTCCTGTAGGTCTCAAACTAACATGCAAGAAAGTGTTGAGTCTCTGCAATAAGAAGAAAACTAGAAAGGCTAACAGGAATGTGTTACACCGTTCTCGCCTTGCTTTAAAGAAATATCTGAGATTGGGTAATTTATAAAGAAAAGAGGTTTAATTGGCTCACGGTTCTGCAGGCTATATGTACAGGAAGCATGGTGCTGATATCTGTTTAGATTCTGGGGAGGCGTCTGGGAGCTCTTACTCATGACAAGGTGAAGCAGGAGCAGACACTTCACATGGTGAGAACGGGAGCAAGAGAGGGAAAGAGAGTGGGAGGAGGGAGGTGCCATATGTGTTTAAATGACCAGATCTCATGACTCACCATCTTGAGGACAGCACCAAGCCATGAGAGATCTTCCCCTATGTTCCAATCACCTCCCACCAGGCCCCACCCACAACACTGGGGATTACAACTCAGCATGAGATTTTGGCAGGGACAAATATCCAAATTCTATCAAGAGGAAAGGCTCATTTACCATTTTATCCTCACTGCCCAGGGGAATGAATAGAACATTTGTGGACACAAGCTCAGGTATAGAATCATGTGGATGCCACAATGGCATCCATTGAGACATGAGTTCCCATCTGGTCTCCAGTGATCAAGCCACCCAGGTCACAGAGTCATCCATGTAGTGACCTTAAGTCCTCTTCATCAGTTACTTCCAGGTCCCTTTTAGAAGGGGGTGAACAATGTTGGACACCTTCCCACTATACTGGGGCCATGGTAAAGCCTACACAGCAGTTTCATGCCCTCTCTGTCTACACACTATGCCACTGCTCATTCTCCTCTACTGATTCGCATATTTCTGCACATGGAGACTTTCTGTAAGATTTGTCATAACTTTTCAGTTGTGTATATTTAAAAAAAAAAATCAATCAGGGCCTGGTGCGGTGGCTCATGCCTGTAATCCCAGCACTTTGGAAGGCTGAGGAGGGCAGATCACCTGAGGTCAGAAATCAAGACCAGCTTGGCCAACATGGTGAAACCCCATCTCTACTAAAAATACAAAAATTAGCAGGGTGTGGTGGTGTGTGCCTATAATCCCAGCAACTCAGGAGGCTGAGGCAGAGAGTCGCTTGAACCCCAGAGGTGGAGGTTGCAGTGAGCCAAGAACGTGCCATTGCACTCCAGCCTGGGTGACAACAGTGAAACTCTGTCTCAAAGAAAAAAAAAATCAATCAATAAAACAAATAAAAATCCATGCATTATTCCCATCTCCTATCAAATTATCAAACCTATGTAATATTTATACGGCTGACCCTGTGTTATCATTCAGGTTTCAACTCAAATGTGAATTTCTGAGAGAGATCTTCCATGGATATCTAATCTGATTTGTACCCATGTATCCCGTGACCTTCTTTATTTCTTTTTTTGTTTGTTTGTTTGTTTTGTTTTTTTGAGATGGAGTCTCGCTGCACACCCAGGCTGGAGTGCAGTGGCACAATCTCGGCTCATTGCAAGCTCTGCCTCCCTGGTTCAAGCAATTCTCCTTCCCTCAGCCTCTCAGGTAGCTGGGATTACAGGCACCCACCACCATGCCTGGCTAATTTTTGTATTTTTAGTAAAGACAGGGTTTTGCCATGTTGGCCAGGCTACTCTCGAACTCCTGACCTCAGGTGATCTGCCCGCCTCAGCCTCCCAAAATGCTAGGATAACAGGCGTGAGCCACCACTCCCAGCCCATCTTTATTTCTTAATAGAACCTAGCACGATCTGAAAAATTCTTAATTTATTTATTTACTTGTTTAGTATTTCATTCTTGCTCTTGAAAGTACACTTCAGGGAGCCAAGATGTTGACTGTCTTGCTCACTCCTGTGTTCGCAGATCCTACAACCATGCCAGGCATAAACTTGAATGAATGACAGAAATGGCCCATGTTTCCATGGAGCAAACAATCTAGCAGGGCAAAACTACAGTAAGTAATTGCAGAATCTTTTACAGCCTCATTTGGAGAATCAGAATTCCAACTCAGAAAGCTATACTTTTTTTTTTTTTTTTTTTTTGAGACGGAGTCTTGCGCTGTTGCCCAGGCTGGAATGCAGTAGCGCGATCTCAGCTCACTGCAAGCTCTGCCTCCTGGGTTCACGCTATTCTCCTGCCTGAGCCTTCTGAGTAGCTAGGACTACAGGCGCCCACTACCACGCCCAGCCAATTTTTTTGTATTTTTAGTAGAGACGGGGTTTCACCGTGTTAGCCAGGATGGTCTCAATCTCCTGACCTCGTGATCTGCCCACCTCAGCCTCCCAAAGTGCTGGGATTACAGGCATGAGCCACCGTGCCCGGCCAGAAAGCTATACTTTTGCCATAGCCTTGTCCTTCATTCACTAGTCCTTTTGGCTAAGGAAAAGTCCAGACGTAACCAACCATGCCACTTTCACCCCAGAGGATATTGGTTTTGGTACTAATCTAAGTCCATAGTCTTAAAATTTGTTTGATCACTTATTTTTATCAGTAATCAGTTTTGAAGAACCTTGCCAATATATGTTTATTTATTTACAAATTATGTGTGTGCCACAGTGCTAATATATTATGTGCATTTTAAAATATAAACAAAAATTAAAATGTAAACATATAAGATAAAAAATATAAATTTTGATTTCTGTTCTCCTCTTTGCATCATCTCATGTACCCTCTGTGATATGTATGACTCATTTTGAACACCACTAAATAAAGAAATTTTTACCTAGAGATAAGAGGTTGTTGAGAATGAGAAGTGGGAGAGGGTCTAAATGTCGGGAATGAGAAGTGGGAGAGGGTCTAAATCCCAGGGCAGTATAAGAGAATTCTGTGGGACAGTAGTAGTGGCAACAAGAATTTACCCAAATGTTAAAACTAGTACAACTATACAAACCAAAACTAATGATTACAATATGTAAAGTTTTAAAATTTTATGAAAACAAACAAAAAAAGAACCTAAAAAGTAGTTAGTTATACACTGGGCATTTTATTTTCTGATCATGTAAAAAATTCTATTTTAAATTAAAAAACCTCATTTCCATCCCAGCTCTGCTTTTCCCTCCAGAGATAGATCAGAATCACATAAAAGCACAGACAATAATGTGCCTTTATAAGCACCTCATTGATCCTTGAACCTTATAGCTGACTGTGGCAGACGGCTGCCACAATATCTTCCACTCCACATGCTGTCCTCTGCAATGTGACCTTGCCACCTACTCAACAGTGGTGAAGTTCCCCTTCCCTTGAACCTGGTCTGGACTAGTGACTCCCTTATAACTGATAACATACACAAACTCACAGGCAATATCAGAAAACGTCATCCAGTTTCTGGCCAAGTCTTTCAGAGCATTTTCTCTCAGAACCCAGCTTCCATACTGAGAGAAACCCAAACCACACAGCGAGCTACACAGACTGGCTCTCTGTCCAGTTGGCAGTCCTAGACAAGGCCAGCTTTGAGTCATTCCATCCCAACTGGGAATTCCAAAGAGTTCGATCTTCCAACTGCTGCAGTCACCCTTGGGTATTTCAGTCTTCCCAGCTTGAGGCCCCAGACAGTGTGGAGCCAAGATAAGCCAGACCCATGGTGCCATGTCTGAATTTCAGACCTGTGGATTCCAGGAGCATCATAAAATGGTTGTTGTTGCAAGCTGCTAAATTTTGGGATTGTTTAATAGACAGATACTACTTGTCTCCTACTCATTATCCATCCTGCCCTTCTTCCTTGCCAATAGAATCCTGATTTTGTTTAGAGACCTCTGTTAAAAATACTAAATAGCCTAGCTTTCCTTGTAGCAAAGTATGGCCAATTAACACAATCATAACTAACAGGAAGTAAGTAGAAGTTGCCAGTTGGAGTTTCTAAAAATAAAAAATAAATTAAAGCTTTTTTAGGAGACAGAGGAAATGGCTACTTTCTATGGCCTTTTGTCTTTTTTTTTCTCTCTGTATCTTTTCTGCCTCACTTGCAGTTTTGATGCCCAGAAGGGAAGGGGCCACCTTGTCACGGGGAGGTAGAAAACCAGTCTAGAAATGGTGGCATGAAGTGATGGAAATACACTGATTTCATGATGACCTTGTGGAGGCATCACACCAGGCTGAACTGTCCACCTTGAACTTCCTGTTATATAAGATGTCCTCCACGTTTAAGCAACCTTTGGTTAGCATGTTCTGCCACATGCTGCCAAACATAACCTCAAAAAGGTGGCACAGCAAGTAACAGCACCTAAATAGATTTTGTTGAATTGGCTGGGCAGGACTGGCTTCGTGGGGCTTCAAAGGGTCTGATATTTCATTCAATGCTCTGCTATCCTTGTCTTGAAATTTCTAATAATTTGATATTTGAATTTATGGTAGTATAAGTGAAGTCCAGTGAGACAATGGAGCATGCATATGATCAGGGGAAATAGACATAATGAGTGTGTCTGTTTTTCTTTGCCTCTCATTTGTATATAATGTTCACAATGCCCCCATGAGCACGAGATTCCAATGGGTCCATAATGCACGGACGTTCAGGAAGACATGCACGATGCACAAGGTAAATGTACTATATCTCAGACTGGATAAGTGGGATGAGAGGGAGGCAATGAAAGCTCCAAAAGGCCACTCTTTCTATTCAAACCAGAATTTGCTTTGGATGCGGAAACAAGGCAATGCATTTTGAGAAAACTCAATGACCAAGGATCTCTATTATTTCATTTCTTATTCATGTTACCTTCCTGTAATAGCTTACCACTTAGGTTTATGCTGAAATGGTGACACAGAGAGCTGTAGATTGAATTGTGTCCCTCCCAAAAGTCCTGTGTTGAAGTCCTAACCTCTAATGTGACTGCATCTGAAGACAGGGTCTTTAAGAGGTAATTAAGGTTAAATGAGGCCATGGACTGGGAAAGGGGTGGAGGGGAAGTTCGTCATTAACAGGATTGTGATCTGTTAAGAAGAGACCGCAGTAACAAGAGGAAGACAGAAATATCTCTCTCTTTCTCACCACCATGTAAGGACACAGTGAGAAGGTGGCTGTCTTGCAAGCCAGGAAGAGAGCCCACAACAGAGCCCTACTATGCTAGCATCCAATCTCAGACTTCCAGCCTCCAGAACTGTAAGAAAATCAATTTCTGTTGTTTAAGCTGTCCAGTCTATGATATTTGGTTATGACAACTTGAGATAGTTAACACATAGAATGAAAAGGAAATATAGGGCAACTGATAGGTCCTTTTCCTTCAGTCCTTCTTTACTCATCAGGAAGGCAAAAGGACAGAGTACTCATAGAAGTAGAAGTAAATTAAAAACAGTTGGATTGCTATTGTTCTGCATTTCTACTGTTATGGTAAGAAGGAAACACAAAAATATATACAAGCAATGAAATCCAAATGGTGTCATTACAGAGACTCCACATAAATAAGTTAAATTTTCCTATATTGGCATTTACAACCAGCATTGCATGTCATGACAAAGACTATGCAAGAAAGACAAAAGCCTTGCATTTTAGTGTTTTTAACAGCATTTTCCCCCACTTTTTCTTTTTTTTTTTTTTTGTGACAGAGTCTTGCTCTGTCACCCAAGTTGGAGTGTAGTGGCACAATCTTGGCTCACTGCAACCTCCACCTCCTGGGTTCAAATAATTCTCCTGTCTCCACCTCCCCAGTGGTTGGGATTACAGGTGTGCACCACCACACCCAGCTAATTTTTTTTTTTTTTTTTTTTTTTTTTGACGTGGAGTCTCACTCTGTCACCAGGCTGGAATGCAGCGGCACAATCTCAGCTCACTGCAGTCTCCACCTCCTGGGTTCAAGCAATTCTCTGTCTCGGCCTCCTGAGTAGCTGAGATTACAGGCTCCCGCCATCATGCTCAGCTAATTTTTTTGTATTTTCAGTAAAGATGGGGTTTCACCATCTTGGCCAGGATGGTCTCAAACTCCTGACCTCAGGTGTTCCACCTGCCTCGGCCTCCTAAAGTGCTGGGATTACAGGTGTGAGCCACCATGCCTGGCCTCCCCCACTTTTTGAATGAGGGGGTCTTGCAAATAATGTAGCCATCCCTTTGGCTGAGGAGAGGCTTAAAGGGTCCTTGAGAATTGAGGGCCCATATTTTGCTGGCTAAAAAGCCAATGATCTTTGCTATGAAATGGCAAACCATTTGGTCAAACTTCTAATGACCACACTTTGGGCTGCAGACCAGTTGTCAAACCAGGTCTTCTGTTGTATGGGAAATGGTAAGAAAAAAAAATCACAATGCTAGGGCTTTCTAGGCTTATCTAGAAAACAAAATTAGACAGGGATTGGGTTCTGCTACTTTATTTGAGAAGTAGAATCCCAGTACAGAGAGAAGGAAAAGCAAAGTGAGAGAAGCTTAGGAAAGAATACTCAAGGTACTCAATTTCCATGGCTGTGACTGCAGCATAAACAGTCACAGATACATTGCTGGTATCTAGGTAAGTACATCTACTAAGCAATGGGGACTTCCCCAGTCAGGCTATATGACGAAATTGTGGCTTGGAAGCATCGGATGGAAGCAGGAAAGAGAGGTAATGTATGTGTCTTTCTCCCCACTGCCTCCTGGGACAAAGTTCACCTCATTAAAAGTTCCCTCCCCATTTTTCTGGATATATCATATCCTCTAGTGGACACCCAAGAAGCCAAATCTCACACCCTACAGTTTGGCATTTCAAGCCAATACAAAGTGTCAAGAGAAGTCAGAGACTCTTGACTTGTGACTGGTTGGCCACTGTGGAGGTAGCTGATATTGAGGTAGCCACTAAGGGTCTGGGAGGTCAGAGATGACACATCTGAGATGGTACATCAGGTATGTCTTACACAGTGGCAGTGTGCAGGCACCTTCTTACCACTTTCAGCAATGTCTGAATGAGATAGATAAAATTTGCCTGATTATATTAACACTATAAGGAGAGAGAGAAGAAAATGCCAATTGTTAAGGGAAGGACTCTCTGTCAGTGTGTTAGTCCATCCTGCATTACTGTAAAGGAATACCTGACACTAGGTGATTTATAAGGAAAGTAGGTTTATTTGGCTCACAGTTCTGCAGGTTGTACAAGCATAGTGTCAGCATCTGCTCAGCTTTTGGTGGGGACCTCAGGGAGCTTACAGTCATGGTAGAAAGTGAAGCAGAGCCAGAGTGTCACATGGAGAGAGAGGAAGTAAAAGAGACAGGAGGAGTTTCCAGGGTCTTTTAAACAACCAGCTCTCATGTGAACTCACTGCTGCAGAGAGGGATTCATAAGGGATGCACCCCCATGACCCAAATACCTCCTGCCAGGCTCCCCCTCCAACACTGGGGGTTACATTTCAATGAGATTTGGAGGGGACAAACATCCAAACTATATCAGCCAACATCTTGCAATTTAAGTGGGAGGATTCCCACAGTTTGCAGTCTTGCAGTTTAAAAAGCCAGGCTCTGGCCAACATGGTGAAACCTCATCTCCACTAAAAATACAAAAATTAGCTGGGCATGATGGCACATCCCTGTAATCCCAGCTACTCAGGAGGCTGAGGCAGAATTGCTTGAACCAGGGAGTCGGAGGTTGCAGTGAGCTGAGATCATGACACTGCACTCTAGCCTGGTGACAGAGCAAGACTCATTTGAGGAGAAAAAAAAAAAAGCCAGGCTTATAACCTCAAAGTAAAACTGATTAAAGAGGCAGCCACAAAGCTGCAAGCCTTTCCAAAACACCAAACACCTCCCATTAAAAATTCTCTGCAGGGAGAGCAGGCTAACCTGGTGCCAATAAGATTAGGAGGTTGTCCTGCCACTGAAGCCCACTATTCAGAATTGTCTCAAAACAGAAGCAGTGAAGTGAAGAGGCAGGAAGGTGTACAAAGAGCAAGCCGTAAAAGGGAAAGATCTTCAGGTTTAAAATCAACATCTAAACAAGATGTGTGCTGGCATCACTCTCACAGGTAATAAATAGGCTGGATGCCTGCCCAGAATTTAGAGAGAAATTTTGCCCAAAATAACTCCAGGCCCGGCCACCAATGGTCTAAGATTTTCAAGCCCTAAGAACTCCAGGGTCTTGATTTCCACCAACAAGAAGCAGGTTGTGGAATCACGGCAGTCCCACAGGGTTACATCTTTCTCAATGCCCTTCTCATATTCAGCCTTGGGGAATAATATATAAGAACTACAGGCCCAGAGAGCAGAGCCAGGGCTGCCAGTCAGCTACCAAGGCATGGAGTCCACCGCTAGGGCAAGAAGGTGTCTTTCTTACTGCCCAGAAGATTTGATGATTGTTCTGGACTGATGTGTCTCTAATTCACCTCTGTTCTGAATTGTAGTTTTATTGCTGTTATCCTCTTCCTCCTCCACCACTGTATATTGGCATGTGTAGGAGACAGACAAAAAAATATTAAATTTATTCATTATGGGAACTCAAGAAACTGACAAATACTTGGTGACTTTGAGCTGAATCCTATAATTGAATGAGACTTTGGGGATGTCAGCCTATGCCTGAAAAGAAGGGTAGGTATCAATGTTGCTTACCCAAGGGTAGACTGGGACAAGCGCCAGTCACTGCCTATGCATTATCCTCTCTCCTGTTCTTCCTTCATTACAAAAATCTATTTTGTATGAAGAATCAAGGTGTCCAGTTAAAATATTCAGTCTCCCAGATTGAAATGACCCTGTGTCACTTTCCTGACCACTGAAAGAGTAATGTTTTTGTTTTTTGTTTTTTGTTTTTAAAGGATAGAGTCATTTGAGATGTTGAGACAGAGTCTACTGAATTTTTCCTCTGTTTTCCTACCCCCTTTTCCCTGTCTGGAATGTGAGTGTGTTGCCTAGAAGATAGAGGATCTATCTTGTGATCTTGAAAATGAAAACCGCACCAGGGATGTGGTAGAATGTTCTCACCACAAAAAAAAAAAAGATAAGTGTGTGAGGTAATAAATATGTGCATTAGTTTGATTTAGCCATTCTACAATGTATACATATATCAAAAATGTTGTATACTATAAATATATACAATTTTTGTTTGTCAAAAACAATTTAAAGAGGAAAGCAAAAAAAGAGAGAGAATGGACTTTCACAACTTTATGGATCAAATGAATTAAGTATTTTTTATAAGAAGGAGAAATAAACTCCTTGAGATAAAACTGCTGATGTTTGGGGTTGCTATGATGCACAGCCAAAAGCAAACCCTATTTAATGTAGATCCTGAAGTGGAAAAGCATGGCCAATAAAGTTTTTGCCAACAGCTAAAGACAATCACTCCATGGTGAAGTGCAGCAAAGCAGGAAATAAAAGAATAAAAATTTCTTGCCAATTGTTCAGAATAAATCAGAAGACTCCAGGCTGGTGACTAGATGGATTCTTCCTCTTGCCAAGTTGATACTCTGTGCATTTGAGTGCCTGAGGCAGACACCATGTCTATATTTATGTGTAGGAGATTCCTGAAGGCCAAAGCAACTTGCAATACAACACAGTATATATTTCATGCAAACCCAACATCTTTGTTGCATATGGTTTGGTGGGGTAAAAATCAGCTGTAGAATGAGACAGATTAATATTTGAGTATTGACAACATCACTTTTTTTTTGGGGGGGGGGGCCTTGCTCTGTTGCCCAGGCTGGAGTGCAGTGGCATGATCTTGGCTCATTGCAGCCTCCACCTCCCAGGTTCAAGCAATTCTCATGCCTCAGCCTCCTGAGTAGTTGGGATTATAGATGTGCACCACCATGCCTGGCTAATTTTTGTATTTTTAGTAGAGATGGGGTTTCACCATGTTGGCTGGGCTGGTCTGGAACTCCTGGCCTCATGTGATCCACCTACCTCGGCCTCCCAAACTGCTGGGATTACGGGCATGAGCCACTGCACCCAGGCAGCTATATAATCTTGATGAGCTTTAATATCATCAAAAAGTTAGAATAAGATAATTCATGTTGATGCTTAAATAATTTTATAGCATGAAAACAAAGTTAGGATATATCCAAGTACATGAATACTGAGAGACATGATTCATTGGTGCCACCAAACTAACAAGTTACCCTACCAATAAATGATGCTCATAAAGACATTCGAGACAATTCAAGTTGTAGCAGCCCTCATTCTTTCAACTTTAATAGCTTCACCTTCTGCAGCAATAAAGAGACCACCACGATAAAATAGTAATTCTTTAACAATTTTCTTTAGATTCCTTCAACATCAAGTACCCCTCTTGTATCTCAATCTACATTATACTGAAGCTACTTGCATTCATATCTTATCCCATTAACTAGATTATGAGCATCTCAAGAAAGAAGAAATTCTCATACTCAAGTTTTTTAGTTTTCTACTCCTACTCCCTATAAGTAGAAACAGCTCTATAATGACATGCCTAGGATTGATCTCAAAGAAGCCTAAAGTCTATAAGTGTCTTAAGGCCTTTTGGAGGAACAAGTACAAGGAAACAAAGATGATGTTCATTCAGGAGCTCCAGCTTTTGAACTCGTTCAGTCATCACAGCCACTACTTATTGAACACTATCTCCTCACAAGGCACTGTAGGTGAAGTATCACTAATCCTTTCAGAAATACTGCAAGCTAAAGATAACATCTCCATTTTAGATGGAAAGATCAAAGCTCGAAGAGGTTATGTGATTTGCCACTGGCCACAAAATTATTAAATTACAGATACTTATGATTAAAACCCAGGTTTGTACCATTGCAGAACCCGTATTCTTATTACCTCTTCACACTGAGTGCCTGTACTACAAATTTCCAGAAAATGCAACTCTGTGCTCAGGGCAGATTTTATGAGCATGTATCTTACATAGGGCCCTACTCGTAGAAAGGCCCAGGCATGGTCTAATGCTCCACGGTCACTGTTTGGAAATCCTTCATAAGTTATGGACAAGAAGCTCTGCCTTTTCATTTTGCACTGGTCTCCACAAATTGTGTAGCTGGTCCTGTTGGTGCTCATATGAGAAGCATTTTGCCAGGTTGCACTTAACCTTTTGTAAACTAAGTTTCTTTTTCTCAAACACAGTGGCTGCAAGTAGAATAGGTGCGCACTGTGAGTTTTTCTACTTAAAAATATCTCTCCCTAATATTTACCCCCAAAGTATTACCTCAATATATGCATTCCCTTAAGTTCACAAAAAAAGTTCCCCTCACAAAGTTTTATACATCCCATGATCTCACAACACTCACCCTGAATACCCTTTTTATTTCTCTACTCCAAGCCAAATCATTTCCAAAACACTCTTTTAATTCCCCTTAATACCGTTGCAAGGACATGCTTTAATAAAACCCCCAAATCTATACTAGTAAGGCGATAAATTATTGGGTAATTATTCACAACACAAAGAATTATTCACCATGGACTCCTTTAAATATACACTGAGAGCTCATTACTTGTTTACAAGCCATTAACCACTTGAGAGGTTATGATGTGGAGAGACAAACTGGAGGACTGGCTACTCCAAGGCTGAAGTCGGGGTTGTGGGGCTTAAACCACTAATGTAGGACGATAGATAGCAGGGACAGTGGGCCAGATGAAGGAACCCAGTGAAGAGAGAGTCCACAATAACAACACAACTTACAACATCAGCATAAAGGTGTATTTGGGGCTGAATTCAAGGTGGATACTAAGGCTTAAAAACAGGTGTAGAAGTAAGCTGTTATGCCCTGAAGGAAATGCTGAGACTATTTAGCGGGATGATCTGTGATGATTTGAAGCTTTAGCTTAACTGACTAAACTATGGGAACTTTGGCCTGAAGTATCATATGAACAATCGTATCTCTACACATCTCCACCTGAGTGTTCTGTGCTGTGACCCTGCTCAGGCTGGGTTCATCATCTTCTCCTGATGGGCCAGTGGTATGCCCCAATGATGGTGAATCTTCAGATTCTAGAGCATCACCCTTTGTCTTCACTGTACTCTGAATGGCTTTAAGGGCCAGTCGCTGATTCAAAAGTATATGAGACAACTTGGTCCAGGGATATTGGTTTTGAATGGCACATGACACGATGTAGTTTTGCCAAACCCAGTGTCATGATACAGGGCACATACAGTTCGGTGCCTATGCCAGGGACAACTGAACTTGGGGAAAGATGGCCTAGAGTAATAAATCCCTCCATACCCGTACAGACACCAAACTAGAATCTTCCAACACATACTAAAGTAAAAGAGAACAGGGATATCTATCCATGTATAAATTCTATAACACCTGCTTAAAATCTCCTGTAGGTGTTCTATTTAGTTAGAATAAAATGCATCCTCCTCATCATGCCCCATCACTCCAGCCTCTCCAGCCTCATCTCTTCCTACTCTTCCTTCTTCCTCACCCTGGCCAACTCTGCTCTAGCCACATTGATCATCTTGCTGTTTCTTGAACAGATCAAGCTTGTATCCACTGTGTGGCATTTGCACTTGCTATTCCAGCTGAGTATCCTCTCAGATCCCAGATGTTTGCAAAGCTGACTCTTTCGTATCATTTGGAGCTCATATCAGATCGACCTCTTAAATGGGGAACCTCCCTGGAAAGATATTGCTTATTTATTTGTACATTTATTGTTTATTATCCATCTGCCCCCTCTAAAATCTAAGCTCCACGAGAACAGGAACTGTACTTGTACTGTTCACTGCTAAATCCCCATTTTCTAGGATAGTGCCCTGGCACATAGAAGCAATGAACACATATTTGTTTTGTGAATAAGTACATGAGCATACTATCAATATTTTAGTTGCAACCTGTAGTCTAAGTGTTGAAAGTTGATGGACAAAGTAGGGGCATGACATTTTCAAAACTAAGTAGGGATGAGATAAAATGGGCCTGTAAGAAGAATGCAGAGAAACAGAAGAAATGCACTCTTTGCAAAGACAGGATGAAGAAATCTTCAATCAGCCAGTGCACTGTGAGGAGCTGCTGGACTGGAAAGGCTTATCCCTGGGGACCTCAGTAGAATTTGGTAGGTATGCACTGTGGAGGCCTATACAGCAGTTGGAAGAATTAGACTAGATGCACACATAGCCACATGGATGGATCTTAACAACATAATACAGACCAAAAAAAAAAGAAGAAGAAAAGTAACAGAATGACATATTATACAATGCCATTGACATAAGCTAAAAATACAAAAATATAAAGCAAGAATGTACATTTTACAAGACAACATACAAAAGCACATATATTAAAAATATTTCTCCACCAGCCAGGAAGGACATTGGTGTTGAGGTTGACATATCTGTCAAGTACAGTAACTGTCAAGACAGTAAAGCATGGCTTCCAGTGCTTTAACGAAACCTCACATATGTGGCCTTCTGGCCAAGCATCTATGATTTCGCACTGTTGGAACACTCACTGTATTCCCGGGCTTGCAGCTCTCTATAAGTTTTGTGTAGCTGAACCAAGAATAAAGGCATGCGCAGATTTCTACAGAAATTATGATTCCGTTAAAGATTTTGAGGAGATGAGGAAGACTGATAGCTTTCAGGATGCAAAGTGATTTTGGAATATAAAGAATTTATTTGGGTTGGCTTACTTAGAAGTTAGTCACTGGCCTGTGTTTCTAAATTATAAAACCTGAATATGGGGTAGGGGCAAGGGTAGGGAGAGCGTTAGGACATATACCTAATGCATGAGGGGCTTAAAACCTAGATGATGGGTTGATAGGTGCAGCAAACCACCATGGCACATGTATATGTATGTAACAAATGCGCACATTCTGCACATGTATCCCAGAACGTAAAGTAAAATAATAAAAAAAAAAAAACCTGAATATGTAAGCTAAGAAATACTTTCTCTTGATAAACAAACAACAAATAAAAGAATAAATAGGTGGAGGAGCCAAGATGGCCAAATAGGAACAGCTCTGGTCTACAGCTCCCAGCCTGAGCGACGCAGAAGACCGGTGATTTCTGCATTTCCATCTGAGGTACCAGGTTCATCTCACTAGGGAGTGCCAGACAGTGGGCGCAGGACAGTGGGTGAGCGCACCTTGCACGAGCCGAAGCAGGGCGAGGCATTGCCTCACTCGGGAAGCGCAAGGGGTCAGGGAGTTCCCTTTCCTAATCAAAGAAAGGGGTGACGGATGGCACCTGGAGAATCGGGTCACTCCCACCCGAATACTGCGCTTTTCCAACGGGCTTAAAAAACAGCACACCACGAGATTATATCCCACACCTGGCTCAGAGGGTCCTACCCCAGGGAGTCTCACTGATTGCTAGCACAGCAGTCTGAGATCAAACTGCAAGGCGGCAGCCAGGCTGGGGGAGGGGCGCCCACCATTGCCCAGGCTTGCTTAGGTAAACAAAGCAGCCGGGAAGCTCGAACTGGGTGGAGCCCACCATAGCTCAAGGAGGCCTGCATGCCTCTGTAGGCTCCACCTCTGGGGGCAGGGCACAGACCAAAAAAAAGACAGCAACCTCTGCAGACTTAAATGTCCCTGTCTGACAGCTTTGAAGAGAGCAGTGGTTCCCCCAGTAGGCAGCTGGAGATCTGAGAACGGGCAGACTGCCTCCTCAAGTGGGTCCCTGACCCCTGACCCCCAAGCAGCCTAACTGGGAGGCAACCTCCAGCAGGGGCACACTGACACCTCACATGGCAGGGTACTCCAACAGACCTGCAGCTGAGGGTCCTGTCTGTTAGAAGGAAAACTAACAAACAGAAAGGACATCCACACCAAAAACCCATCTGTACATCACCATCATCAAAGACCAAAAGTAGATAAAAACACAAAGATGGGGAAAAAAACAGAACAGAAAAACTGGAAACTCTAAAAAGCAGAGCACCTCTCCTCCTCCAAAGGAACGCAGCTCACCAGCAACGGAACACAGCTGGACGGAGAATGACTTTGACGAGCTGAGAGAAGAAGGCTTCAGACGATCAAATTACCCTGAGCTACGGGAGGGCATTCAAACCAAAAGCAAAGAAGTTGAAAACTTTGAAAAAAATTTAGAAGAATGTATAACTAGAATAATCAATGCAGAGAAGTGCTTAAAGGAGCTGATGGAGCTGGAAACCAAGGCTCGAGAACTACGTGAAGAATGCAGAAGCCTCAGGAGCCGATGCGATCAACTGGAAGAAAGGGTATCAGCAATGGAAGATGAAATGAATGAAATGAAGCGAGAAGGAAAGTTTGGAGAAAAAAGAATAAAAAGAAACGAGCAAAGCCTCCAAGAAATATGGGACTATGTGAAAAGACCAAATCTACGTCTGATTGGTGTACCTGAAAGTGATGGGGAGAATGGAACCAAGTTGGAAAACACTCTGTAGGATATTATCCAGGAGAATTTCCCCAATCTAGCAAGGCAGGCCAATGTTCAGATTCAGGAAATACAGAGAACGTCACAAAGATACTCCTCGAGAAGAGCAACTCCAAGACACATAATTGTCAGATTCACCAAAGTTGAAATGAAGGAAAAAATGTTAAGGGCAGCCAGAGAGAAAGGTCGGGTTACCCACAAAGGGAAGCCCATCAGACTAACACCGGATCTCTCGGCAGAAACCCTACAAGCCAGAAGAGAGTGGGGGCCAATATTCAACATTCTTAAAGAAAAGAATTTTCAACCCAGAATTTCATATCCAGCCAAACTAAGCTTCATAAGTGAAGGAGAAATAAAATACTTTACAGACAAGCAAATGCTGAGAAATGTTGTCACCACCAGGCCTGCCCTAAAAGAGCTCCTGAAGGAAGTGCTAAACATGGAAAGGAACAACCGTAACAGCCGCTGCAAAATCATGCCAAAATGTAAAGACCATCGAGACTAGGAAGAAACTGCATCAACTAACGAGCAAAATAACCAGCTAACATCATAATGACAGGATCAAATTCACATATAACACTATTAACTTTAAATGTAAATGGACTAAATGCTCCAATTAAAAGACACAGACTGGAAAATTGGATAAAGAGTCAAGACCCATCAGTGTGCTGTATTCAGGAAACCCATCTCACGTGCAGAGACACACATAGGCTCAAAATAAAAGGATGGAGGAAGATCTACCAAGAAAATGGAAAACAAAAAAAGGCAGGGGTTGCAATCCTAGTCTCTGATAAAACAGACTTTAAACCAACAAAGATCAAAAGAGACAAAGAAGGCCATTACATAATGGTAAAGGGATCAATTCAACAAAAAGAGCTAACTATCCTAAATATATATGCACCCAATACAGGAGCACCCAGATTCATAAAGCAAGTCCTGAGTGACCTACAAAGAGACTTAGACTCCCGCACATTAATAATGGGAGACTTTAACACCCCACTGTCAACATTAGACAGATCAATGAGACAGAAAGTCAGCAAGGATACCCAGGAATTGAACTCAGCTCTGCACCAAGTGGACCTAATAGACAGCTACAGAACTCTCCACCCCAAATCAACAGAATATACATTTTTTTCAGCACCACACCACACCTATTCCAAAATTGACCACATACTTGGAAGTAAAGCTCTCCTCAGCAAATGGAAAAGAATAGAAATTATAACAAACTATCTCTCAGACCACAGTGCAATCAAACTAGAACTCAGGATTAAGAATCTCACTCAAAACCACTCAACTACATGGAAACTGAACAACCTGCACCTGAATGACTACTGGGTACATAACGAAATGAAGGCAGAAATAAAGATTCGCTTTGAAACCAACAAGAACAAAGACACAACATACCAGAATCTCTGGGACACATTCAAAGCAGTGTGTAGAGGGAAATTTATCGCACTAAATGCCCACAAGAGAAAGCAGGAAAGATCTAAAATTGACACCCTAACATCACTATTAAAGGAACTTGAGAAGCAAGAGCGAACACATTCAAAAGCTAGCAAAAGGCAAGAAATAACTAAGATCAGAGCAGAACTGAAGGAAATAGAGACACAAAAAACTCTTCAAAAAATTAATGAATCCAGGAGCTGGTTTTTTGAAAAGATCAACAAAATTGATAGACCGCTAGCAAGACTAATAAAGAAAAAAAGAGAGAAGAATCAAATAGACACAATAAAAAATGATAAAGGGGATATCACCACCGATCCCCCCAGAGAATACTACAAACACCTCTTCGCAAATAAACTAGAAAATCTAGAAGAAATGGATAAATTCCTTGACACATACACTCTCCCAAGACTAAACCAGGAAGAAGTTGAATCTCTGAATAGACCAATAACAGGATCTGAAATTGTGGCAATAATCAATAGCTTACCAACCAAAAACAGTCCAGGACCAGATGGATTCACAGCCGAATTCTACCAGAGGTACAAGGAGGAACTAGTACCATTCCTTCTGAAACTATTCCAATCAATAGAAAAAGAGGGAATCCTTCCTAACTCATTTTATAAGGCCAGCATCATTCTGATACCAAAGCCGGGCAGAGATACAACCAAAAAAGAGAATTTTAGACCAATATCCTTGATGAACATTGATGCAAAAATCCTCAATAAAATACTGGCAAAATGAATCCAGCAGCACATCAAAAAGCTTATCCACCATGATCAAGTGGGCTTCATCCCTGGGATGCAAGGCTGGTTCAATATACGCAAATCAATAAATGTAATCCAGCATATAAACAGAGCCAAAGACAAAAACCATGTGATTATCTCAATAGATGCAGAAAAGGCCTTTGACAAAATTCAACAACCCTTCATGCTAAAAACTCTCAATAAATTTGGTATTGATGGGACATATTTCAAAATAATAAGAGCTATCTATGACAAACCCACAGCCAATATTATACTGAATGGGCAAAAACTGGAAGCATTCCCTTTGAGAACTGGCACAAGACAGGGATGCCCTCTCTCACCACTCCTATTCAACATAGTGTTGGAAGTTCTGGCCAGGGCAATTAGGCAGGAGAAGGAAATAAAGGGTATTCAATTAGGAAAAGAGGAAGTCAAATAGTCCCTGTTTGCAGACGACATGATTGTATATCTAGAAAACCCCATTGTCTCAGCCCAAAATCTCCTTAAGCTGATAAGCAACTTCAGCAAAGTCTCAGGATACAAAATCAATGTGCAAAAATCACAAGCATTCTTATACACCAACAACAGACAGACAGAGAGCCAAATCATGAGTGAACTCCCATTCACAATTGCTTCAAAGAGAATAAAATACCTAGGAATCCAACTTACAAGGGACATGAAGGAGCTCTTCAAGGAGAACTACAAACCACTGCTCAAGGAAATAAAAGAGGATACAAACAAATGAAAGAACATTCCATGCTCATGGGTAGGAAGAATCAATATTGTGAAAATGGCCATACTGCCCAAGGTAATTTACAGATTCAATGCCATCCCCATCAAGCTACCAATGCCTTTCTTCACAGAATTGGAAAAAACTACTTTAAAGTTCATATGAAACCAAAAAAGAGCCCGCATCGCCAAGTCAATCCTAAGCCAAAAGAACAAAGCTGGAGGCATCACACTACCTGACTTCAAACTATACTCCAAGGCTACAGTAACCAAAACAGCATGGTACTGGTACCAAAACAGAGATATAGATCAATGGAACAGAACAGAGCCCTCAGAAATAACGCCGCATATCTACAATTATCTGATCTTTGACAAACCTGAGAAAAACAAACAATGGGGAAAGGATTCCCTATTTAATAAATGGTGCCGGGAAAACTGGCTAGCCATATGTGGAAAGCTGAAACTGGATCCCTTCCTTACACCTTATACAAAAATCAATTCAAGACGTATTAAAGACTTAAATGTTAGACCTAAAACCATAAAAACCCTAGAAGAAAACCTAGGCATTACCATTCAGGACATAGGCATGGGCAAGGACTTCATGTCTAAAACACCACAAGCAATGGCAACAAAAGCCAAAATTGACAAATGGGACCTCATTAAACTAAAGAGCTTCTGCACAGCAAAAGAAACTACCATCAGAGTGAACAGGCAACCTACAAAATGGGAGAAAATTTTCGCAACCTACTCATCTGACAAAGGGCTAATATCCAGAATCTACAATGAACTCAAACAAATTTACAAGAAAAAAACAAACAACCCCATCAAAAAGTGGGCGAAGGACATGAACAGACACTTCTCAAAAGAAGACATTTATGCAGCCAAAAAACACATGAAAAAATGCTCACCATCACTAGCCATCAGAGAAATGCAAATCAAAACCACAATGAGATACCATCTCACACCAGTTAGAATGGCAATCATTAAAAAGTCAGGAAACAACAGGTGCTGGAGAGGATGTGGAGAAATAGGAACACTTTTACACTGTTGGTGGGACTGTAAACTAGTTCAACCATTGTGGAAGTCAGTGTGGCGATTCCTCAGGGATCTAGAACTGGAAATACCATTTGACCCAGCAATCCCATTACTGGGTATATACCCAAAGGACTATAAATCACACTGCTATAAAGACACATGCACACGTATGTTTATTGCGGCATTATTCACGATAGCAAAGTCTTGGAACCAACCCAAATGTCCAACAATGATAGACTGGATTAAGAAAATGTGGCACATATACACCATGGAATACTATGCAGCCATAAAAAATGATGAGTTCATGTCCTTTGTAGGGACATGGATGAAATTGGAAATCATCATTCTCAGTAAACTGTCGCAAGAATAAAAAACCAAACACCGCATATTCTCACTCATAGGTGGGAATTGAACAATGAGATCACATGGACACAGGAAGGGGAACATCACACTCTGGGGACTGTTGTGGGGTGGGGGGGAGGGAGGAGGGATAGCATTGGGAGGTATACCTAATGCTAGATGATGAGTTAGTGGGTGCAGCACACCAGCATGGCACATGTATACGTATGTAACTAACCTGCACAATGTGCACATGTACCGTAAAACTTAAAGTATAATAATAAATAAATAAATAAATAAAAGGAAAAATAAATAAACATTAATATCAAATAAACATTAGAATCTGTGGTGAGGGAATTAAAATGAGAATGGGCAAAAGAGATAAAAGAAATTAATGAATTAAATAAAAATGAGAAAGGGCTTGTGCAGACCAATGGCAATGATTTTCCTTAAAGTGACAGTCATACTTAACCCAACCCTCTGTACTTGAAATATGAAAGAAAAGAGGAATTTTCTCTTCTGATTCAAGCCTCTTTATGTAGGGCACTGAAATTCATGCAGAGGAGTTTGAACTTGCTGAAGTACATAAATGTCTCTGAACTTTTCCTAATTAAGAGGGACTTTAAATTTCTCCAGCCCAAACCTAAAGATGTGTTAAAGATTAAAGCTACTGACTCAGGGGGTGGGAGAAATGGAACCCAAAAGAGATTCAATGGCTGAAAAGGTCATGGTCTGTCCCCATAGATAATCCTAATAAGCCACAGGAAAGAGAATGGAGAAGATTGAAGTATTGAAAAATTGAGGGCCCCATCATATTCAAAATTGAGTCATTTCAACCAGGTTAGAGGCCATAGAGATAAAGTAATATGTATTAAAAGCCAGTTATTTGCCAGGGTTAAGCGTGGTGTTAGATTTATAACACTCATTTATTCATTCAATGATGTGTTCAATGTCTATTGAATACATATTAAGTGTCACGCTTTTTCAAATCACTGGGGGTACAGAAGTGAACAATCTGGCTCATTTTGATGGCTTATATGAAGTGAAAGTAGACACATAATAAACAAACAAATTGATTAAACAAGAAAAAAATAGAGATAATTGCTATGCAAAGAATTTTTTGTTTGTTTGTTTTCTCTTCTTTGCTATGCAAAGAATTTAAGCTGAGTGATGGAAGAAAAGGTAACTGGATGGCTTTAGGGAGCTAGAGTGGCACAATTATTAAATAATGGCTTCTAGTATTTGCTTAGATTCACATCCCAGCTCCATCTCTGCTTAGCTGGGACCTTGTGCAACTTACTGAACTTTCTCATGCCTCTGTTCCTCAGCTGTAAAATGGGGATAATAATTTAACTACCCTCATAGTGTTGATGTGAAAATGGAATGAATTGATACACATGCAATGCTAAAGAATAGTTTGGGGCACGTAAGTATTTAGTAAATGTTAATAACAATAATTATGACAATGGGGATGATGATGGTGAAAGGGTGGTGATGGTGGTAGTGTAATGATAGTGGTGATGATGACGCTGTAATTGTGATGATGATGACGATGATGGTGATGGTGATGATGCTGGTGCTGGTGGTGATGAAGATGACAGTGATGATGATGACAGGGGTGGTGGTGAATTAAGCTAAGACATGTTTGACAAGAAAGTAGCATGCAAAAATTTGGAGGAAGAACACTCCATGCAGAGGGAACAGCAGATACAAAGGCCTGGATAAACTAAAAGAAATTCAGCATCTTAAAGGAAGGAAGAAAAGACTCGAGTGTTCAGATGATAATGAGTAAAAGGGAGAGCGGTGGGTAATCATGTCAGAATTAGGCAAGGGCCAGATCACAGATAATACATAATCCAAGACTAGGAGTTGGGATTTTATGCAAAGTTCGGTGAGAAATCACTGGAGGGTTATAAGCAAAAAAAAGTGACATAATTCTTATAACAACCTTATGAAAGAGGCAATGTTGTTGCCATTTCACCAGCGAGGTAAGAGAAGCTCAATGTGATTCGGAAATTAACCAGTGTCATATAGCTCTTGACTGGTAGAAAGAATATGTGAACCCAAGTCTATCAGGCTCTAGTCCTCCACCCCACCAAGCATCATACTTCATACTAAGAGGATTTCTGAGTAGTTCTCTTCCTGCTACAACAAGCTTCCCATTAATGGAAGCCACAGTCTGCAAACATTTGGCTAAAATCAGCATGGTAGACACTTAGCTTTCTGTACTTTACTCTCCTTGAGTGTCTACAGAGGAAAACCAGACTCAGCAGGATAGGCATTCATGCATACGAATTGGAGAACACATCAAACTGTCCTTCTCTGAGGATGCCAGACTTTCAGCAACATCACATGTGCATTGATACAACTGGTTCTTACAAATTGCCACCCAGCTCCTAGGACCTGGCAGCCTTTCCTTTCTAATTCACATGTTTGATTACTTAGGGGGGAATTTCTCCACTCCTAGTTTTTTCTGCCAACTTCAAGTGGGAGGATAAGGAGAAGAAAAAAAGAGAAAGAAATAGAGAGGAGTGTAGGAAATGTTACCAGAGTGATTAGGTGAGTCTGTTAGCTCCCAGCCTAAACTGGGCATTCCAAAGAACATGTTGTTCTGTTTTGATTTTGTTTTAGTTTTAGTTTTGTTTTTTGCTTTAGCACTGTAAATAACTATTATCAGAGACTCCAATGCAAAGGCTGAGAACTGGCACCAGCTCTATAATGTTATTATGCAGCAGAACTTTTTTACCCATTCCATTCTGTAAACCCATTTTAACTTTCCAGCAATAAATGATGGACAATTAAATTAATAAAGCAGTTACTGATAATATAGCAAGTAGTTTGTTGTGTCAAATAATGTGCTAGGAACTTTGCATGCATTATCTCATTTAATCTGGCATCCTGTAAAGGCAAGAAAATGGAAAGTGCTGAGGGAATATAGGTAGGGCCCTGAATTTGCTGGTGGGAGCTGAATCCTTTCCTATCCTACCTCAAAAAGCATGTGCCAGATCATTTGTGGCCTTAAGAAACTCTGCTTTCCTCTTTATGTTAGATACTGTTGGGTATTCACAGATTGAGCCTTTCCCTTCAATGAATCTCAGTTGTAGAGTTAGATATTAAAGCCAAAATGACCCAACTGATCTAAGGAAAGGCACAGTAATATAGAAATGGTAGACACATAATCTTTCTCTGCACCACTTTCTAAGCAGTCCTCACTGATCACTGATCAATCGCAAGCCTATACTTGACATCAGAACTCTTCTCAACACAACCTACTGGTCAACCACTACAATTAGGTAATTCACTTCTTAATATATTTTTATCTAATATTTACATCATCACCTGGCCACTAGGAATACAGAGATGAGTAAGACATTAGCTTCTGTGTTTCTTCTCTGTTTTTATTGAGAATTTTCTATGACTGCTCACACACCCACTTTCACTGCACTATTCTATCTCATTTGACAAGTATCTTTTACCCAGAAACAGTTTCATGAGTTGTGTGTTCTCTTTTCTCTAGAGTATTAGATGATTGGGTCCACAGTGCGCAGAGAAGCCATGACCTGATTGGGTATCCTACTACAATTTATCTACAAAGCTCTCCGTTTTGACTAGACACCTGTGGTGGATTTGATCATTGTTCCTACTGAGAGGTGACAGTGTGCTGGCAGTCCTCACAGCCCTCGCTCACTCTCGGCACCTCCTCTGCCTGGGCTCCCACTTTGGCGGCATGTGAGGAGCCCTTCAGCCCACCGCCGCACTGTGGGAGCCCCTTTCCGGGCTGGCCAAGGCCAGAGTCCACTCCCTCAGCTTGCAGGGAGGTGTGGAGGGAGAGGCGCGAGCAGGAACCAGGGCTGCGTGGGGTGCTTGCAGGCCAGCTGGAGTTCCGGGTGGGCATGGGCTTGGCAGGCCCCGCACTCGGAGCAGCCAGCCGGCCCGGCGGGCCCTGCCGGCCCCGGGCAATGAGGGACTTAGCACCCGGGCCAGCGGCTGCGGAGGGTGTACTGGGTCCCCCAGCAGTGCCAGACCACTGGGGCTGCCCTTGATTTCTCACTGAGCCTTAGCTGCCTTCCTGTGGGGCAGGGCTCGGGACCTGCAGCCCACCATGCCTGAGCCTCCCACCACCTCCATGGGCTCCTGTGCGGCCAGAGCCTCCCCGATGAGTGCCGCCCCCTGCTCCACTGCGCCCAGTCCCATCGACCACCCAAGGGCTGAGGAGTGCCGGCGCACAGTGCGGGACTGGCAGGCAGCTCCACCTGCAGCCCTCGTGCGGGATCCACTGGGTGAAGCCAGCTGGGCTCCTGAGTCTGGTGGGGCCTTGGAGAACCTTTATGTCTAGCTCAGGGATTGTAAATACACCAATCAGCACTCTGTCTCTAGCTCCAGGTTTGTAAACACACCAATCAGCACCCTGTGTCTAGCTCAGGGTTTGTGAGTGCACCAATCCACACTCTGTATCTAGCTACTCTGGTGGGGCCTTGGAGAACATTTATGTCCAGCTCAGGGATTGTAAATACACCAATCGGCACTCTGTATCTAGCTCAAGGTTTGTAAACACACCAATCAGCACCCTGTGTCTAGCTCAGGGTTTGTGAATGCACCAATCGACACTCTGTATCTAGCTACTCTGGTGGGGCCTTGGAGAACCTTCAGTGTCCATACTCTGTATCTAACTAATCTGGTGGGGAGGTGGAGAACCTTTTTGTCTAGCTCAGGGATTGTAAACGCACCAATCAGCGCCCTGTCAAAACAGACCACTTGGCTCTACCAATCAGCAGGACGTGGGTGGGGCCAGATAAGAGAATAAAAGCAGGCTGCCTGAGCCAGCAGGGGCAACCCGCTAGGGTCCCCTTCCACAGTGTGGAAGCTTTGTTCTTCCACTCTGTGCAATAAATCTTGCTACTGCTCACTCTTTGGGTCCACGCTGCTTTTATGAGCTGTAACACTCACCGCGAAGGTCTGCAGCTTCACTCCTGAAGCCAGTGAGACGACGAGTGGAGGAACGAACAACTCCAGATGTGCTGCCTTAAGAGCTGTAACACTCACCATGAGGGTCCGTGGCTTCATTCTTGAAGTCAGTGAGAGCAAGAACCCACCAATTCCGGACACACTACTTCTCTACACTTTTCGTATATTAGAATTTTACATCCACATACATTTTCCAGTTAACTTCATAATATCTCTAAGTGTGAACAGAGTAGATTATGCTGTTTTATTGATGGTGTGGCTGGTCATGAGACTTGTTTTAGCCAATGGAATTAGGATACAAACACAGCTTTAAACGTCTTGCCTGTTTTGCCTTGCCCTACAGTACTCCTGTGATTTGCCATAGAGGACCCTGAATTGCAGAGCTGCTAGTCCAAAGGGAAAGGAAAAACATGTAGAACTGGTCTGAACCCTTCTCACAACTTGGAGCCAAGCCCAGCCAATTCCCAGCTGAGTCAGCAAAGCCACAGCTGACCTGCAAACCTGTGAACAAGAAAATAAATGTTTGTCATAAGCCACTGAGATTTTGATATTGTTTGTTTCACAGTAAAAACTGAGTGATACAGAACTCTCATTTTCTTATAACCCTTCACATTCCTTTTCTTTCCCTTTTTAGGCAGGAGCTATTACTTTCTTCACCAAATAACAGTTTCATCTCTTTGTAAAAGCTGAGTATATGTGTAAGAGCTGTGTATATGAGACCACCATCAATATACAACAAAACCAGTCTGAGATGTGGACCCTGACCTGTCCACTAAGCAGTGATATACACTAGTGAGTAATAACACTCACTAGCTAGTAATAGACACATTTCCTAATATGAATAATTCAAATCAGAAATTCAAATATTATTACACACTACAAACTTTCTGGTCAGGCAGTCAACTTATTTTATCAATCAGAGTTAAATCAGGCAAAGAATAATCATTATGAAACTATTCCAATCAATAGAAAAAGAGGCAATCCTCCCTAACTCATTTTATGAGGCCAGCATCATTCTGATACCAAAGCCAGGCAGAGACACAACAAAAAAGAGAATTTTAGACCAATATCCTTGATGAACATTGATGCAAAATCCTCAGTAAAATACTGGCAAAACGAATTCAGCAGCACATCCAAAAGCTTATCCACCATGATCAAGTGGGCTTCATCCCTGGGATGCAAGGCTGGTTCAATATATGCAAATCAATAAATGTAATCCAGCATATAAACAGAGCCAAAGACAAAAACCACATGATTATCTCAATAGATGCAGAAAAGGCCTTTGACAAAATTCAACAACCCTTCATGCTAAAAACTCTCAATAAATTAGGTATTGATGGGACATATTTCAAAATAATAAGAGCTATCTATGACAAACCCACAGCCAATATCATACTGAATGGGCAAAAACTGGAAGCATTCCCTTTGAAAACTGGCACAAGACAGGGATGCCCTCTCTCACCACTCCTATTCAACATAGTGTTGGAAGTTCTGGCCAGGGCAATTAGGCAGGAGAAGGAAATAAGGGGTATTCAATTAGGAAAAGAGGAAGTCAAATAGTCCCTGTTTGCAGACGACATGATTGTATATCTAGAAAACCCCATTGTCTCAGCCCAAAATCTCCTTAAGCTGATAAGCAACTTCAGCAAAGTCTCAGGATACAAAATCAATGTGCAAAAATCACAAACATTCTTATACACCAACAACAGACAGAGAGCCAAATCATGAGTGAACTCCCATTCACAATTGCTTCAAAGAGAATAAAATACCTAGGAATCCAACTTACAAGGGATGTGAAGGACCTCTTCAAGGAGAACTACAAACCACACTGCTCAATGAAATGAAAGAGGATACAAAGAAATGGAAGAACATTCCATGCTCATGGGTAGGAAGAATCAATATCGGGAAAATGGCCATACTGCCCAAGGTAATTTATAGATTCAATGCCATCCCCATCAAGCTACCAATGACTTTCTTCACAGAATTGGAAAAAACTACTTTAAAGTTCATATGGGACCAAAAAAGAGCCCGCATCGCCAAGTCAATCCTAAGCCAAAAGAACAAAGCTGGAGGCATCACACTACCTGACTTCAAACTATACTCCAAGGCTACAGTAACCAAAACAGCATGGTACTGGTACCAAAACAGAGATATAGATCAATGGAACAGAACAGAGCCCTCAGAAATAACGCCGCATATCTACAACTATCTGATCTTTGACAAACCTGAGAAAAACAAGCAATGGGGAAAGGATTCCCTATTTAATAAATGGTGCTGGGAAAACTGGCTAGCCATATGTAGAAAGCTGAAACTGGATCCCTTCCTTACACCTTATACAAAAATCAATTCAAGACGGATTAAAGACTTAAACGTTAGACCTAAAACCATAAAAACCCTAGAAGAAAACCTAGGCATTACCATTCAGGACATAGGCATGGGCAAGGACTTCATGTCTAAAACACCACAAGCAATGGCAACAAAAGCCAAAATTGACAAATGGGATCTCATTAAACTAAAGAGCTTCTGCACAGCAAAAGAAACTACCATCAGAGTGAACAGGCAACCTACAAAATGGGAGAAAATTTTCGCAACCTACTCATCTGACAAAGGGCTAATATCCAGAATCTACAATGAACTCAAACAAATTTACAAGAAAAAAACAAACAACCCCATCAAAAAGTGGGCGAAGGACATGAACAGACACTTCTCAAAAGAAGACATTTATGCAGCCAAAAAATACATGAAAAAATGCTCATCCTCACTGGCCATCAGACAAATGCAAATCAAAACCACAATGAGATACCATCTCACACCAGTTAGTATGGCAATCATTAAAAAGTCAGGAAACAACAGGTGCTGGAGAGGATGTGGAGAAATAGGAACACTTTTACACTGTTGGTGGGACTGTAAACTAGTTCAACCATTGTGGAAGTCAGTGTGGCGATTCCTCAGGGATCTAGAACTGGAAATACCATTTGACCCAGCCATCCCATTACTGGGTATATACCCAAAGGACTATAAATCATGCTGCTATAAAGACACATGCACACGTATGTTTATTGCGGCATTATTCACGATAGCAAAGACTTGGAACCAACCCAAATGTCCAACAATGATAGACTGGATTAAGAAAATGTGGCACATATACACCATGGAATACTATGCAGCCATAAAAAATGATGAGTTCATGTCCTTTGTAGGGACATGGATGAAATTGGAAATCATCATTCTCAGTAAACTGTCGCAAGAACAAAAACCAAACACCATATATTCTCACTCATAGGTGGGAATTGAACAATGAGATCACATGGACACAGGAAGCGGAATATCACACTCTGGGGACTGTTGTGGGGTGGGGGGAGGGGGGAGGGATAGCATTGGGAGATATACCTAATGCTAGATGACGAGTTAGTGGGTGCAGCGCACCAGCATGGCACATGTATACATATGTAACTAACCTGCACAATGTGCACATGTACCCTAAAACTTAAAAGTATAATAATAATAATAATAAAGAATAATCATTATAGCTATTTAAAATAGGAAGAGCTTTACCATAGAAAAATAGAGATTTGCATGACCACTGAAGTTCCAGCTGCAGGAGCAAAGGGCGGAAACACTGTTTTTAAGAAATTCGGAAGTGCAGAGATCACAGGAAAGCCACTACCAGAAGTCTCAGCTACCTACAGCCACCAGAATAGGTGATTCCTAAGAGAGTGCTCTAAAGTCATGGGTGAAACATCACCTCTGCCATCACTCATGCTCACACATTTGCTAATAAATGTCATCAGAGGAACAGAGGCTTCTAGTTTTTTTTTTTAACCTTCCATATTTTACATAAGGACCTCTCATTGATAATATCTACTAGATTCTGTAGACTAGGGAGTCCAGGTTTCAGGTTTACACCCTCTAATACAGGGAAAAGTTTAGAAGGGTTGGGATGAGACCTAGCATCAACAAATAATATCTCTCATACTTATGAATACCCCACCCTAGTTTGTGCTCTGTATCAAAGCCTAGAGACTCAGGGCTAAACAAGCCAGGTGCAGGCCCTACCTTCATAGAATACACAGTCCTAGGGCAATTTTGCTCAAAAGCAATTGAAACCTGGTAAATATCAAGGATAATTACAATATAATGAGGTATTCACAGAGCATTAAGGAAATAGGAGGTAATTCTTACCTACCTAATGGGATAAGCAAGGGAGAACAGAAAATTTTCTCCTTCAGCCACATTCACACACACACTACAAGCACACACACACAAGCCCACACCTGGAAAAACATTGTTCATCTGACATATAGAGGCCACCATGTATCTCTGAGGACAAGGATGCAGAAGGGGAGAAGTAAAGGGAGTTCCAGAGAGTTTGGGGTTTGTTACCATAAAAGCCCTTGTTGTTAGAACTAGCTGCCCCAAATCCAAAGCTTAGTATTGAGAGCAACATCAAGCATCAATTTTATTTTTTTTAAACTTTGAGGTTACCACAGTATACTACAGGAGCCTGGGAGGGAGTCAACTTCTGAGCTTTCAGTTTAAAGACACCTGCTATCTGAAATGTATTAATGCAAACTGGGTGGTCCCATGCTAACCCAATGTGCAGGTACTTTAAGCGTATGTGTGTGTGTGTGTGTGTGTGTGTGTGTGTGTGTGTGTGTGTGGCATGGAGGGTTTTCTCCCATCCCTTTTCAACTTTTTCCTATTCTCATGATTTACTTTCAAGCCCTAACACTTTCAAGAAGTCCTAGGGTGCTATATGTTAATAAAAGCATTTCCAGTTCGACAGTGGTTGGATAGGCAGTAAATTAATTGGAAATTGTATAAAACCACGCTTTAAGAAAATCCCTGCCGTTTCTACTGTTGTGATTTCCTTGTCAAACAGGATTTTTATGTTTTAAGCAAAGTGCAGATATTACAGAGCCACAAGAATTCCGTTTCAATAACTACCTCTTTTCTAATTAACCCCTCACACTCCACCCCAGAAGCGCAGCAGCCACCCTGGCTGGAATGGAGGATATAAGGCTTGCATTTTCCAGGGAGTTTGCATGCACATGTGGTTAGAGGGATTCATACCTAGCTGGGCACAGGGCGTACACCTGTAGTCCTAGCTACTCAAGAGGCTGAAGCAGGAGGACTGCTTGAGCCCAGGGGTTCATGTTCAGCCTGGGCAACATAGCAGGATCTTGTCTCTCAAGAGAAAAAAGAAAAATGCCTGTGTCAGGCCAGGCACGGTGGCTCACGCCTGTAATCCCAGCACTTTGGGAGGCTGAGGCGCGTGGATCACGAGGTCGGGAGATTCAGACCATCCTGGGTAACATGGTGAAACCACGTCTCTATTAAATATACAAAAAAAAATTGGCTGGGCTTGGTGGCAGGCGCCTGTATTCCCAGCTACTCAGGAGGCTGAGGCAGGAGAATGGCGTGAACCTGGGAGGCAGAGCTTGCAGTGAGCTGAGATCGTGCCACTGCACTCCAGCCTGGGCGACAGAGCAAGACTCCATCTCAAAAAAAAAAAAAATGCCTGTGTCAAATCAATTTACCTGAGCTCTCAAATGAACAAAGGAAAGCAAATTTAACACTTACTCTGACAAAAATTCAACTCAGATTGCCTTAAGCAAAAGAGGAAATTCATGATCTTCTGCTACAAAGACGCCCAGAGATTTCTTGCTTTAGGCATGTCTGGATCCAGGACTCACACAGTGTCAGCGGGAATCTGTCTCTCAGCTCTGCTTCCTCCTGTGTTGGTTTATTATAAAGCAAGGGCAAGCCAGAAGCTCCAGGCTTTCAATCTACCAGGTCAGCACCACCAGGCAAAGAGAGCGCCTTCTTGCAATAGTTCCAGCTGAACTCCTAGGGCCGGGGCTCATTAGACTAACTTGAGTTGCAATCTCTTCCTGACTCAACTGTGTACAAGGGAATGAATGGAGTACTCTGTCTGGCCAGGCCTAGGTCACTTGTGCCTCACCCGAGTCAGCCTCCCCAGAACTACATAGACAGAGGGATTCACATCCATACTCCCCAAAAGGTATCTGCTACATTTCTTTAAAATGATAGTGGCCAACCATGCACCCCATAAATATGTATAATTATTTTGTACCCATTAAAATTTTTAAATAATAGTAAACTTCTATTCAATAGTTAATTATGTCCCAGACACTGTGCTGAGTACCAGGAAAGCATTACTTTACTTAGTCCTCATGTTCATCCTACAGAGCAGATATTATAATTAATCCCCACTTTAATGATGAGCAAAGACCTTGATTCCTTCCCCGAAAGTATCCCCTTCTTTCAGGCTGTCATTGCTCTCTTCCACATCTAGATCATATCTATTTCAGCAAAGAAACAGTAACACCTCAGTAAAAACTCAGTTTGATAAATTGGCTCTCTCAAGACACTGTGCACCTTAACTGCCCCTCAAGCAGGGCAATGCAGCATGTTTTCCTCTGATAAAGGAATTCTCAGCATCAGTAGGGCCAGCATTTCGAAAGTGGCTATGGCGAGGAGTCAGTCCCTGAGATCCCACAGTGCAGATTTTTGCCTCCCTAAAAAGGCAGGACCTGGCCGGGCGCGGTGGTTCACGCCTGTAATCCCAGCACTTTGGGAGGCCGAGGTGGGCGGATCATGATGTCATGAGATCGAGACCACCCTGGCAAACACGGTGATAACCCGTCTCTACTAAAAATACAAAAAAAATTAGCCGGGCGTGGTGGTGGGTGCCTGTAGTCCCAGCTACTCGGGAGGCTGAGCCAGGAGAACGGCGTGAACCTGGGAGGCGGAGCTTGCGGTGAACTGAGATTATGCCATTGAACTCCAGCCTGGTCAACAAGAGTGAAACTCCATTTCAAAAAAAAAAAAGGGCAGGACCTGTGTTTTTAATTAATGAGATAATTGAACTGGGTAGAAAAGAGTGTGGGGGGAGGGGAATTAAAAATAAAGAAAGGCCAATGATTTAAATGCTGCATGAGACAGAACACATTCAGATTAACAAAGCAGATAGGTGTTGAAGGCATCGAGATTTGTAGCCAGACCTCACTGAAAAGAAAACAAACACAGCATGGGCAGGCAGAGATTTATGCAAAAGATATTGGGGCACTTGGTTTATAAATTACCTACACATGACAGAAAATGAACCTCCTTTATTCTTGTGCATCATTTTAAAAGTTACTTGACTGACAAGAAGTAATTTGAGCATATCTGCTCAGAGGTCTGACTTGTTTAAAGGGAGATACACACATATGCATGAAGGGATAACTACATGAATTCACTTGTTGAATTAGACATAGAAATTTGGTAGAATGTCTTCAAGTGAACCAGAGACCTAAATGTAGAAAAACTCCAAAATAACAATAAAAGAAATGATTGGTGAATATATTAAGTCCTGGAGGTTGGAAAACTTTCTTAATTAAGATTTAAAAAGCAAGTCTTTTTTTAAAAAGACTTTTTAAAAAGACTATCTCACTAGATCAAAATTAAAAATGTCTTCTGACAAAACACAAAATAAACAAAGTTTAAAGGTATATATAAACTAAAAAAATTTACATAACATAAACATATATATATCAGGAGATAAATGTCTACAGTATACATGGAACTCTTAAAGATTAATCATACAAGCAAATGATAGAAAAATGGGCAAAAATGCAAACAGAAAATCCATGAAATAGGAACTACGAATTATTAATAAAAATATAAAAACATGTATAGTTTTACTGTAACGAAGGAAATGCAAATTGAAACAATGACAAACCACAGTTCTTACTTATTAGATTGGCCAAAAGGGTTAAGATGTGATAAAATCAAGTATTAGTGAGGATATGGGGACATGGGCACTGTCACACATTGCAGGTGGGAACATAAATTTTTACAGTCACATCAGGCATCAATTTAGCAGTACCAAGTAGAATTTAAAATGCTCATATCTACATCCAAAAAAACAGGTGTATAAAAATATTTATTACAGCATTTTCAGTAATTCAAAATATTAGAGACAGTCTATTATCCATTGGCAGGAAAATGGTTAATTAAACTATGCCATGTCTAAATTTTGGAATCATATGCAGTAGTTTTTAACAATAAAGAATAGCCATAAGGAGTGACATAGAACCAGCACCAAGACACATTTTGAATAAAAAATGTAAGTTGCATAATATGTACTCTCCAATACCATTCATTGCATGCACACATGAACACTTGCAATGGTGTTACCTACTTAGTAAGAATGCACAAATTATTATTGATTGCAATGATACAGTTAAAGATAGAGATGTTGTTTGAGTGTAAATGCAGCAAGATGGGTCTAGAATAATACATGTCAAACCAGAAGGGTATATGGGAAGGAATTAGGGAAAGTGGACAAAGTCAATTTTTGCCATATCTATTAAGGTATTCATTTTTCTAAAGATATTTTATCAATGTTTTACTTATAAAATTAGAATACATATTTAAAATTTTCTAGATGGTTAAAAATCATATACACAGTATTTAAATCTGCAAATATTTGTTGAGTCTCTTGAGTATTATATAATATGTAGACACACAGGTGAAAAAGTCACTGTTTCAGTTTCATTCATTCATTCAATCTTTTTTTTTACTAAAAGTTTACACCTTGCATTCTAATATAGGCAAAGATAAAAAACAAATAATTACATAATGTGATAGTTGGTGATAAATAAGAAGAAAAATAAAGATAGGGAAATCCAATTGTCCATCCCTTATGCCAAACAGACTTATCTTTCTATGCAGTTTTGGGGACAGCTGCCCTTCCTATGGGGAAACATAAAAGGAGGTTAGTAGGACAAACTATAACCCCACTGCTGTAGTTGATCTTTGGGTTAAAATTAATATTCAACTTCTCCCTCCTCCATTCTCCATCAGATAGATACTCCTCATCCTCATTTATGAACTCAGCAAGGCTATGGATCATGTACAACATTGTTAGCAATTGGATATTAAGTCTGAAATTCAAGGAAAAGGTGACAGCCAAAGATAAAAAATCAAACACTGTCAACATATAGATGGTGTTTAAAGTGATGGAGCTACAATTTGCTCAAGGGATAGAGGTATATGCTATATAATTCTATAGTAGCAACTGTTATGCATATAAAAATATTTGCTATGGTGAGTGACACCTGCACTACATCTATAATCAAAATCACAGATTTTTATACTACCACCTGCACCTTATAGAGCAATGAACACCTCTGTCGTGCTGCAGTCATATAACATATCTAAAAGCTAAATGAAAGATTCACTGGGTGTTATCGCAATTACTTCTTTTGAAAAAAAACTGAGAAAGACAGGTATGCTAGCAAGAGATGGTGCCATATAGAGCAATGTGCCAAAACATTATAACATTATAATTTCTTCCAGAAATACTTCACAATGAAGAGTTAATTAGACCCTTTCCGGAAATGAGAGAAATGGGAAAGAAAATCTGTGAAGCATCATGTGACACAGGAACCCCTACATTATTTGATTGTCAGCTATATTCTCCTTATGTATAAGTGTCTGGAGCATCTGTTTTTACTGCTGAGATGTGAGGTGGCCAGAGTGCAAGTCTGATTGGGGGTGGAAGAGACCTGCTGGCAGAGAGACAGAGCCAGGTTGCTGAAGTCATAGAACCAGATTCTCCTGACATCTGGAGTTGGTAATTAAACCTCTCCCAAGTGGACAGTTGTTTACATCACTCTAATGATCAAGTCTATCTCTAGGAAAACATTGCATATTTTCAATAAGCATTATAAATATTATATGGCATCTTTGAATGTATCATTTCTGGGTAATGTCACTACCATCCAAATGAGAGCAACAACGAGGTCAGGAAAGTGTGTGGTAAAAAAGAAACTGCATTGGGAAAGTCAAGAATCCTAGATTCTAATCTTAACTCTGCCATGACTCAACATGCATGTGGGCAAGTTAGATAAAACATCTTCATAATTGAATTGTACTGAATAAGAAGAGACAAAGAAGAAACATTTATAAGATAGCTAGTTCCACTCTCTTGATGTCTTAGTTCATTTTTTGCTGCTGTAACAGAATAGCACAGACTGGGCAATTTATTTAAAACAAAAACAAAAAAACAAAAAAAACCCAGAAGTTTAATTGGTTCACGGTTCTGGAGGCTGAGAAGTCCAAGAGTGTAACAGTGGAATCTGGTGAGGGTCATTCCATGTTGGAAGGGCAGAAGGGCAGAAGGGCAAGTGATCTCACAAGACAGAGAGAAAATGGGGGCTGAACTTATTTTCTTATCAGGAGCCTACTCCCATAATAAGTAACCTACTCCTGAGATACTGGCATAATTCATTCATGAGGGTAAAACCCTCATAACTTGATAATCTTTTAAGGACCCCAAAACACTGTTCCATTGGGAATTAAATTTCCAACACATGAGCTTTTGAGGGACATATTCAAACTATAGCATACTGCTTCTGGTCTCCAAAATTCATGCCCTTCTTACATGCAAAATACATTTATTCCATACCAATAGCCCCAAAAGTCTTAACACATTTCAGCATCAACTCAAAAGTCCAAAGTCCAGATTCTCATCTGAATCAAATATGAGTTGGACTCAAGGCAAAAATCACTCTGAGGCAAGTTTCCTTCAGCTGTGAGCTTGTGAAACCCTAACAAGTTATCTATGTCCAAAATACAATGGTAAGACAGGTGTAAGATAGACATTCCCAGGCCAAAATAAAGAAATAGGCAAGAGAAAAAGGGTAACTAGTCCCAAGTAAGTCCAAATTCCAACAGAGAAAACAACATTAAGTATTAAACCTGGAGAATAATCTTATTTACTCCATGTCTTGCTTCCTGGATACAATAGGGAAGGGGTTGGGCCCCTGAGTTCACAGGCAGCCCTACCCCTATGGCCTTACTGAGCTCAATGCACACAGCATTCCCAGGCTGGCATTGCACATCAGTAGCTCTATAGGGCTGGGGTCTCTGAGGTGGTCTTGCTCCCACAGCTTTACTAGGCACTACCCTATAGTGGGAGCTTTCTGCAGTGACTCCACCATGGCAGGTTTCTTCCTGAGCTTTCAGGCAGTTCACAGCTTCTTTTGAAAACTAAGTGAAAGAAATCATGCCTCCACAGTTCTTGCATTCTCTGCACTTGCAGAATGAGCACTGCCTGGACAGGTTATACCTTTCAGAGTGGTGGCCCAAGCCACACCTTGGGACAACTTAAGCTGTGGCTAGGGTAGCTGAGGAGTGCTATTCTGGAAAGTAAGGAGCAGAGAACTGAGGCAGCTCTGGGTAGCAAACTAGTAGAGGATGCCCTGGGCATATTTCCTGAAACCATGCTGCCCTCTTGGCGCTCAGGGCCTGTGATAGAAGGGACAGTGTGGAAGACCTTTGAAATGCCTTTAGGGGTCTTTCTCACATTGTCTTGATGAATAACACCTGGCTCCCTCCTCTTCATCGTAGTCATTTTATCAAATGGTCACTTGGCCATACTCTTATTATTCTCTCCCAAGCATGCTTTTTTCCACTTTATATGACTAGGCTTCAAATTTTTCAAATAATTCCATTCTGCTTCCCTTTCAATTATAAGTTCTGTCTTCAAGTCATCTCTCTCTTCTCGTATCTCACTGTATGCATTAAAAGTAGCCACACAGCAGCCTGAACACTTTGTTGATTAGCTATTTCTTCTGCCAGATATCCTAGTTTCTTGCTCTAAGTTTTGGCATTCTATAAAGTTCCAGAAGAAGGACACAATTCTGCTGAGGTCTTGCTACTTTATAGCAAGGACGGCTTTTACTCCAGCTTCCAATAACTTAGGATAACTTCATCATTTCTATCTCAGACCTCATCAGAGGGTCTTTACTATCCGTGTTTTTACCAACACTCTGGTCATGACTACTTAAATAATCTCTAAGAAGATTTAGACTTTCCTTACAGTTATTCTTTTCGCCTGAGCCCTCATCAGAATCACCCCTAATGCTCCATTCATGGTAATACAGGCTTTTTCTAGCCTGATTCTCCAAATTGTTCAAGCCTCTACCCATTACACAATTCCAAAGCTGCTTCCATATTTCCAGGTATTTGTGATAGCAACAACCTCACTTCTTGGGACCGATTTTCTGCCTTTGTCTTCTGCTGCTATCAAAAAATACCCAGACTGGGTAATTTATAAAGAACAGAAGTTTATTTGGCTCACAGCTTTGGGAGCTGGGAAGTCCAAGAGCATGGCACTGTCATCTGATAAAGATCATCTCTGGCATCTGGTAAGGGTCCTCAATGCTAGAAGAGTAGCCAGCTTACAAGACAGAGAGAAAATGGGGGGCAAAGTTATCTTTTTATCGGGAGCCCACTTTTACAATAACAGCATTAATCTATTTATGTGTGCAGAGTCCTAATGACATAATCACCTCTTAAATGCCCCACCTCTCCACACCATTTGCATTGGGCTTTAAGTTTCCAACACATGAACTTTGAAGGACATATTCAAACCATAGAATTCTCTTCAAGGAATCAGCCTCTTGCTAAGAACACACATCCAGTACATTTTCTGCCATGAGGAAGAAAAAAAGAAAAGAAAAACTCGTGCCTGCCTAAGTGCCCTGCAATGCTGGTGATTGGGCGAATAATTCTGTTGTATTTTGAAATGAGGTGTTAGCAAGATCAGGTGCCTGCAGATCTGAAAGTGTATGTGATAACATGGCATGTCTGGAAAAAGGGATAGTTTTCTCTACTTTTGGAGAAAAAAGAAAGTGGTGATATTTATTCACATTTATTCACTTCTTTCCCAAACACCAATAATGTTCAGGCATGATAAAATAAACATACTTATCAAAATGCAAGCATTTATCCTGAAGAACCAACATTAACACATTAATATCCACATACTCATTAGCTCTGAAGAATCTCAGGGTAGGTATCTGTCTCCTGAAGGAAAATATACACTCATAACATCCATGCTGAAAGCCAAATCAAGAACACAACCCCATTCACAACAGCCACAAAAAGAAAAAAATACATAGAAATACAGATAACCAGAGAGATGAAGAATCTCTACAATGAGAATAACAAAAGACTGCCTAAAGAAATCAGAAATGACACAAACAAATAGGAAAAATATTCCATGCTCATGGATAGGTAGAATTTATATTGTTAAAATGCCCATACTGCCCAAAGCAAATTACAGATTCAATGTTATTCCTATCAAACTATCAATGAAATTCTTCACAGAATTAGAAAAAACTATTTCAAAACGTATACGGAACCAAGAAAGAGCTCAAATAGCCAAGGCTATCCTAAGAAAAAAGAATAAAGCTAGAGAGACATTACCCGACTTCAAGCTATTTATACTTCACCATGGTACTGGTACAAAAACAGGCAAATAGACCAACAGAACAGAACAGAGAACCCAGAAATAATGCCACACATCTACAACCAACTGATCTTCAACAAAACTGACAAAAATGAGCAATGGGGAATGGACTCCCTATTCAATAAATGATGATAGAATAACTGGCTAGCCATATGCGGAAGATTGAAACTAGAGCCCATCCTTAAACCACATACAAGCATCAACTCAAAATGGATTAAAGAATTAAATGTAAAACTGAAAAGTATAAAAATCCTGGACAATAACCTAGGAAATACCATTCTGGACATAGGAGCTGGCAAAGGTTTCATAATGAAGACAACAAAAGCAATTGCAACAAAAACAAAAATTGGCAAGTGGGATCTGATTAAACTAAAGATCTTCTGCACAGAAAAAAAAAACTATCCACAGAGTAAACAGACAACCTACTGGAACTGGAGAAAATATTTGCAAAATATCTGCATTCAGCAAAGGTCTAATATCCAGAACCTATAAGGAATTTAAACAAATTACAAGCGAAATACAAACAATCCCACCTAAAAGTAGGCAAGGAACATGAATAGACACTTTTCAAAAGAGGCATACATGCAGTCAACAAGCATATGAAAAAATGTTCAACATCACTAATCATTAGAGAAATTCAAATCAAAACCACAATGAGATACCATCTTACACCAGTCAGAATGGCTACTAGAAAAAGGTCAAAATATAACAGATGCTGGCAAAGCTGTAGAGAAAAAAGAATCTTTATACACAGCTGGTAGGAATGTAAATTCGTCCAATCATTGTGGAAAGCACTTTTGCAATTTCTCAAAAAAACTTAGAATTACTATTTGACCCAGCAATCCCATTATTGTGTATATGTCCAAAGGAATATAAATTGTTCTGTCATAAAGACACATGCACACATATGTTCATCACAGCACTATTCACAATAGCAAAGACATGGAATCAACCTAAATGCCCATCAACAGTAGACTGGATTTCAAAAATGCGGTACATATACACTATGCAATACTATGCAGCCTTAAAAGAATGAGGTCATGTCCTTTGCAGCAACATGGATGGAGCTGGAAGCCATTATCCTTAGAAAACTAACACAGGAACAGAAAACCAAATACTGCATGTTCTCTTTATAAATGGGCACTAAATATTAAGTACACATGGACACAAAGAAGAGAATAACAGACAGGTCCTACCTGAAAGTGGAGGAAGGGAGGAGGGTGAAAATTGAAAAACTATTGAGCACCATGCTGATTACCTGGGTGACAAAACAATCTGTACACCAAACCCCCAAGACACACAATTTACCTATATAAGAAAACTGCACATGTACCCCAACCCTAAAATAAAAGTTAATAATAAATAAATAAATACTTTTCATATGGCAATTTAAAAAAAAGAAGGGATGTGAGCAGGTTAACTTTCATGGGTAGGTGAGAAGGAGCTGAAACAAGAAACCTAAAGGCAGATTTGGAATACCAACTATACCAGGAGACCCTGGGGACCCAGAAAATATATTTCTTCAAAATCACACCCAATTCAACATTTTTTTCTAGAAAGATATTCTCCCTTGGGAATTTACACATTCTTGTTTGTGATCTGAGTGCTTTACTGGGCGGTGCAAACACCGAGCATATTATTTCACCTTTCTAATCTTGGGTTTCCTCATCTATAATACAGCAACACCTACCATCCATTTGTCCCCACTGATGCTGGGCACCATAGTAATAAAAGTAACTTCACATTGTTTAGGGTCTCCTCCTTTTCTGTGAACAAGTGTGTCTCAGGAATTAAGGTAAGGAAACTGAGGCACAGAGAGTTTAAGTAATTTGCTCAAAATCACACAGCTAATAATAAAGGAAGTCAGGATTTACACTCAACTATTCTTATTTAAGAACCTTCTTCTTAACTACTTCCTGGTGTTTCACTGCCTTCAGTGCATTTTAAGAAGGACTAAGTCCAGTCAGCATGTTCAAAGAGGACAGGGAAGAATACTACTTCCTAACTTCTATGCTAGGTTATTACACCAGGGGCAGGAGGACTTCAGAGACCAAGCATTTAACCCCAAGAATGTGCTGAGTAAATAAACCTCGTTCATTTTCATAGATTTGTTCAAAGAATTTTTAAATATATAGAGTATCTTACAGTCAGCAGTTATTAATACACATGCACCCAGCAAAGAATTTGCAACACAGGTAAGTAGGACATAAGGCCTCTTGAAAGGGAGATGAGAAATGTGAGAAAAAATTTGTTTGACATTGATAAAGGTAGTGTTTGATTGATTTCTTGTAGCTGCTGTAACAAATGACCACAAACTGGATGGCTTAAAACAACAGATATGTGTTGTCTCAGGAGCCCCAAATCAAGGCATCTGCAGAGCCATTTTCCTTCTAGGAATTCTAGGGGAAAATCTGTTCTTTCTCTCCTCCTGCAACTGGTACTTATCGGTATTCCTCAACTTGAGGCTCTATCACTTCACTCTCTCCCTCGGTGGTCACATTGCCTCCTCCTCTTCTGTTTCTTCTCCTCTCCCTTATAAGAATCCTTGTGATGGCATTTAGGGTTCACCTAGATAATCCAGGATGATCTCATGCCCCAAAATCCCTTTTATCAAACAAAATAACAAATAACATTCACAGGTTCCAGGTATTTGACATGCATATCTTTGGCAGGGAGCATTTTGTGGCCTACCATAGGCAGTAATGACTCCCTGTTGCAGGTGCCCCCTACTCTATAAAGCCCCAAATTTCAAACATATACAAAGAGATGCTTGCCAGATGAAAGCATTCAGTGCCAGGATCCCATGAAAGAAAAAAAAAAATCCCTTTGCTGCCACTGGGATGGTTCAACTTTCCAAATCTCATATTTCACACTTTTTCAGAAATTTGCCAAATCTATGAAGCAGGTGTCCTGTTACATGGCTTGCACACTCGCTGCGAACAGTCCACTCCTCTGCTGGGATAAGCCCAGGGTATCGACTTCAGGCAGACCATCCTTCCAAAAGGCTGAGACTTTGAGGCACAAGTTGCCTCTGTTTAAGCAGACTTCCAAGAATGCTTAAGGGGACTAAGCATGATACCAATTTGCAGCTTCTCAAATGTGCTGCTGATCTCTGGTTGCCTTTGATCAGGAGAAATGGCAGCATTTTGTCAGTGTTCAAAAGCCAGTCTACCTTGACCTTTTTTTATAATCAAGTCTGCTGTGGACATTATAAAAAGAATATGTGCAAGGTCAGGCTCTGACAAAATGCAGAAAGCAAATCCCAAGGCTAGTGGCAGCCAGTCTGAGTGGATATCAGAAGCGATACACCAGCCCAAAGCCACCAACCAGACAGCAGTTAAACCCTTTGACAAGCCCAATTCCAAATAAAAATTGGAAGAGGGAGGTGGAAACAGCATCTTCTCTTGAAGGGAAAAGGAACTAAGTACAGTAGCAGATGGAACATGGCCTTACACTAATCCAGGCCCCATAATTAAATTCCGGAACCATGCCAGCAAAGGAAGACAGTATTCAAAAATAGCAGGTGCCTCCTGGAGATGTTTTGCCAGAGAGGCTTTATAAGGTATCAGGCTTATAGCCTACGGTATGAAATCATTGGTGAAGCTTAGTATCCAGCTAGCTCTACAGAGAAGACCAGACTGAGCTGGTGCTGCTTTTATATTCCTTGGAGAAATACTGGCTCCCAGGTAGATTTGCCTCTGGGGTCCTTCAGCTGTGCACAGACTTTGTTGATGAATAGGTAGTCACAGACACAGAGCAGTCCTGGCAGCAAAACTGGCTGCCCAACTTCCTGCATCAATGCATATCACGGCCATTGTGCATCTCAAAGTTGAACCAGAGAGATGATTTCAAAGACAATGCTCATTAATGTGGCCCAGCCAGTCCTTCAGCATTGTATAGAGTGACTAATTTTAGAGCTGGACTCTGGAGTCTCATGGACCTAGATGGTCATCCAGTTCTACAACTTACTAGTATGTGATCTTAGGCAAGCTCCTAAGCCTCTCTATACTATGGGACTTTTTCATCTGTGAATAGAGAATATATTTCCTAAATCAAAGCAGTGAAGAAAAAATGACACTGTAACAAGATAATCAGCTCATAGCATGGCACATGTTAAAAGTACTTAGTAAATATTAAATAAATAATAAGATAATGATGATTACATGGATAGAATAATGGAAGTGGTTGTCAGGAGCAAACACTGAAGGCCATCATGCATAGAAATTCCCAAAAATGCAAGGAGGGCCAGCAGCATTCAGTTATCTGTTTTATTGCTTTTATTTTGTTCCCCCAAGTCTGAAGGATGCTTTCCCCTTTCACCTTGTCTTGGCAAGCAAGGGGGATGAACAAAGACCACATAACAAAGACCACAGTGCAAGCTGAAACTCTCAGGAAGAACAGTCAGCAGCAGGATGCTGTGCCTGGTCCCATCCTCTCAGCAGCCCACAGATGTGCTAGGATCAGGCACAGCTGGACACATCAGCAGCTCTGCTCCAGGAAGACCCCCATTCCCTGCTGCTTTACCTTTCTGTAGGGTTTTCATGTAGGCAGCCTTCCAAGTCTGGAAAAATGGCAAGAGCTTAGGCACCGACTGCTCAGAGAGTTGCACAACCGACAGTGTTGGAAACATCAGCTGATAGTACCTGGGCATCTTGTGTGAAATCAAGCAACAGCCCCTCCCTCTGAGGGAAGGGGACCACCCTTCCCAGCTGCCTTATTTCCAGGATTGTGAAAGCCATCAGGTTCATCTAGTGAGCAGTTCTGCCTATATTCCCAAAGTCCTTCTTTGAGCTAATTAAACACTGACTTATCAAGCACCTAGTCTGGTCTGTGTAGAGATGAAGCTTTTTATAAAGGTTAGAAGTGTGCTGAGCTTTGGAATCCAGCAGTCATAGACTCAAACCATAGCATCACCATTCATTAGCTCTGTGGCTGTGGGCAAGTCAGAAAACTTCTCTGTGTCTCAGTTTCCACATCTCTAAAAGAGAAATAAAAATTATACCAATAATTATAGGATTATTTTGAGGATTAAGTGAGATAAGGTACAAGAAAGACAACACAAGCCTGGCACAAGATAGCACAAATACACAGTAGCTAAACTGAGTTGGGCTCTATGCTGAATTTAAAAAGCTCAAGGCCAGATCTCCTCAACTCAAGTTGATGCCTAGAATTTTACAACATATCTAGGTGGGGAAAAAAAATCTCCATATCACTTCCTTCCAAACCACAAAATATTTACAGTTGAAATTGAAGATAAAGGTCCCACCTCAACTTTTCCCCTCTACTTAAAAAGCTTGGTCAGACTTGATAACATCTTATTATCATGGATGCCTGTTGGCATCCAAAAGTAATGGAGATTGCCTGTTATTGTAACTGCTGTAGTTTCTCTGGTTCCCATTCTATATTCCATCCTTTGGAATTCTATCCTATATTTCCTTAATCTTATTCTGATCTTCCTATTTTCCCAGTACATCTCATCTAAGCCATTTCTGGAAGTACCTTTTATTCAGTCATTTATGCTTTTAACAAAGATTTACTCATCCAACCCCAACATGACTGCACCAATCTAAGCCTGGAGATGAGCAAGATATCTGGGGATCCTGCACTGTGTCAAGGTAGGTAGACATTTAAATGAGCAAATCACTTCATGGGTAAGGGTAATAATAGTAGCTCAAAGCAGGTGCAAATAACCGGGTCTTGAGTGAATGGATGAGGTTGACTGAGGGAATCTTCTAAGAGAAAGTGACATTTAAGCCGAACCAACAGAATGACCAGGAAATACTCAGGGGAAGAAAAGAGGAAAAAGTGTTTCAATCAAAGACAATCCAACCATCGATCTTGACCTACGCTTCAAGCACAGCTAGGGTTACTACAGCCCAGCAAGAGCTATTAATCACTGCCATTGATCCTCCCTACCCACTAGAAAACTTTGAAATTTTAGAGCTCACATCTTGTTAAAATCTCTTCCCCTCTCAAGAACTAAAGCTTCTCCAGCACAACCTCAATTCACTCAGAGAAGGAGAGAAAAAGAAAAATAAGTTGTATTCAGAAAAACTCAAAAGCTCTCCATCTGTGAACTGTAGAGGACACTTGTTGATCAGATTGCCAGAGAAAGCCAACAGAAAGGCAGAGCCACCTTCTTTCCTCCCTTTCAAGAGCAGAGCTCAAAACTGCCTTCACGTCTAAACACATATGACCTGGTTGACAAGGTCATGCCATTTCTTTACCTGTCAAATAAATGGACTTTCTCAGTTTCCACTGTGGATGAAAATATAATATTTCTGTTTGCAATTTCAATTTCACAGATGACTGGCATCTGCAGGGACAGAGAATTCTAATAAAATTGCAGAAGCATTTAATACAATGACTGGCAGATGGGGAAAGGGTTTGTGGCAACTCCATTTTTCTGATTTTGTTAACAAAACATGGCATGTGCTTTTCTAATGCACTGACATTGTTTCATTTACAGTTTAAATCTGATGACTACAAACAGTGATTAGGACTTTGGGGGAGGCAATGCCATTTACCACTTGAATGGTTTAATAATATATACTTCCTTGTATTTTTTTTCCAATCAGACAATTAGCATTCCAGCTTCTGCCCTTAATAAAGTTACACAGGACAATTTCAAAAAATTATCTGAGTGCAAAAATTAAAAAAAATTATCTGAGTGCACCATTGAGTAAATAAATTATTTATGCACACTTGATTTGGAAATTAAGCAAAAGTGAAGTACTTTTTAACCATAATAGAGAGCCATTTAAATAAAAAGTAGGCCCAATAGGTCACTATAAAATTAAAAGCCAGTATTGATGGAACAGGATGAGGCAATTGCAGGGAAAGTTGCTACTCAGCTGCTTAAAGAAGAAACATGGTAAAAGCACAGTCCGTCTATCAACACTCCTTAAATGGTCCCTTCAAAGAGAAGGCTTAAGATAATCATGAAGCCAGATATGTATGTAATTTGCTTGCAGGCTTGCCCTGTGATGCTAGCGAAGTTTCTTGGGCATAAGTTTCAACGGTGATCAATTTAAAAGTGTTGAACTAGTTCCCAAGTGCTGGTTCTTGGACTAGAGGCTGGATGGCTGTATAAGTATCATGTACAGAGTTTTTGTTGTTGATGATGTTGTTCCTGTGATTCCTGGGCTCTAACCACCAAAGAGTAGGATTCGGTGGGGCTGGAGTAGGGCCAGATGACTAGGTTTGGGAGCCATGGGCCTAACTTATTTCCAACTCTAAAGTGTACTCATACAAATGTACAATAAGAATCCCAAGGCACAAACTTGCATTTGACTAAAAATGGCAAATACCTAAGATGGAGAGAGAGAGAGAGTATGTGTGGAGAAAGAGAGAGATGGGGTCTCGTTCTGTTGCCTCAGCTGGAGTGCAATGACATCATCTTAGCTCTCTGCAGCCTCGAACTCCTGGGCTCAAGGGATCCTCCTATCTCAGCCTCCTGAGTAGCTCGGACTACAGGTCTATGCCACTACACCCAGCTAGTTTTTTTTCTATTTTTTGTAGAGATGGGCTCTGGCTATGTTGACCAGGCTGGTCTCAAACTCTTGGCCTCAAGTGATCCTCCTGCCTCAGCCTCCTAAAATGTTGAGATTACAGGCATGAGCCACTGCACCCAGCCATTATAAGTATATTTTTAACTAACTGACTCTATGTAGCTATATGTAGATGTTGTGGGACAAGACATAGTTTGAGGTACTCAAGACAGTTTGAGACTGCTTTATTTAAGATGAGTTTGGTAATCCCTTATGTCTTCAGACCCAATTGTGCAGCTATAGGGAGCCTGGGCGAGCCACTGGCAGGCTAAGCTGAGCAGAAAGGAAAAACCAAATTGAAACTCAAGAACTACTGGAGCAAGAGAGCAAGGACAAAGAGCAGCTCATGTGGAGCAAAGTCTGCTTTTCTCAGAGCCAAGACAATAACTGGAAACTACAGCAGGCTCTGCAGATAAATAAAATGTACTTTGAGGAAAACGGTGCTTTCTCCTGCACCAAAACCACAGGTTTTTCCTATGGATATTGAGGCAACTTGCACCAGGTGGTCCTCAAACCCTGCTCTTCCAGATACAAATTTTTCAGTCTATAAAAAACCTTATCATGCAAATACTCTCAAGCGTAAGAAATAGCATATTAAGCTATATAATTTATCATCTACACTCTTCATCTTGAGAACTAGGTAAAAAGAAGAACCCCCAAAGGAAAGAGCTTCAGACAGACAAAGAGAGAAACCTCATGGGAGGTAACCAGGAGAAGGCAACCATAGAGGGCTGAACAGCAAGACAGCAAGACAGGCACCAAGTTCCACTCCACAATATTTCCTGGGAACAGCCTTGCCAATCCATGAAATAAGAAAAATGTTATTCTGTGCCTTCCCACTTCTCAGAATGCTTACAAGGTAACAGTTGATGTTGTCATAATGCATCCCAGTACTATAAATAAATTAGCTGCATAGATCCACTATGATCACCTCTCACCTGGGGCAGTTTGGATGCCAGGTTTAGCTGATGATTGTCAGGAGAGCACTTAAAGAATGTCATTTCCGTTGTTTTATTACCTGACCCACTGCCAGTTGAGTCTTACCAGCCTGTCTGCAGTCTCATTAGTTGCCATGGATGCATCTCCTTATCTAAATGACATTTCAGACAACATCTGCCCTACCACCACCCTTAGAGAGGAGAGGGAGTTCTCCAAGGAGAATTCTGGAAACATCCCAACCTGTTTCATTATTATTACTATTAGTAGTATAATTACTTCATTATGTAGTTTTTAGCTCATATGACATCAAACTCTCCTGTTATTCATATAATAAGATCAATGAATAATTAAATTAGATCTCAGAAAAATCTACAGCTTGATACCACCAAATTATACACATAAATACAGAGCACAAGCACGTGGCTAACTTTTCAAAACAATACCCTGTGTGTCACACTAGTTCAGCAGAACAAACATGAGCCAAGTGCCTGCTCATATAAGGCACTGTGCTAGACCCATTCTGTGGCCACATTTAATCTTCATGCCATATGGCAGACTGGATTATCCCTGTTACACGGGTAAGAAAATGGAGTCTCAGATTGGTCAAGTACAATGGAAACAACCACCTACCTAAGCCCTTCTTATGGGCCAGGCCTGTTCTAAGAGCTGTACATGCATCAGCTCATTTAATTCTCACAATAACCTATGAAGTAGGTTTAATTATTCCCATGTTACAGATGAGTAGATTGAGGCACAGAGATTATGTACACAACTCTTCAGTTTCAAACAGCTAGCACCAACACCAAGAATCAGAGCCAGGCAATTTGGCCTCTGTGTACTTGACCCTACCCTGTTTCATTCTCAAATGGTATTAGATGGTATTAGGTCATAAAGATGGCAGTTAATAGAGATGAACTTTAACTCAGCCACACTCCAGGTAGGGTACTGAATCTGTATATGTTCCCACATATTTCACCTAAAGGCACTTGCTTTCAGTACAGATCAGAATCTAAATTCTCTTACGGCACAGACCTCGACCCAAGGAATTCTTTAAACTGAGTACTTAAAGTACAGATGCTTATTAACCAACTGACAACTGATTTAAGCCCTCATATTACAGCCCTTTCTAAGCTGTACGTTTAAGAAGATAAGTGCATCATAAAACCTCATCCCCACTCACCTGGGGGTTTCCAGGCACCAGTCCTTAGGACATAAATGTTGGACCAGAGTTAGCTAGCACGAGAGTGCCATGGGGTAGGCGAATGGAAGGGAAGGAAAGAGAAAGAACAGGGAGGAAAGAGCAAAAGAGAAGAAAAGACATTTATTGAGTGCCTACTATGTTCTAGGAATTCTACTAGAACCTCTACATATGTTATTGCACTTCACCCTCATAATAACCTATGAGGTGTGTAATAATACCCTGAAGATTATCTTCCTCATGTGCAAAACGAATCAAAATTAAACTAGTCTCTACCCAACATCAAAGCCTAATCTCTTTCCATTATTCTCATGCTGTCTCCCTAAGGTCAGCTCTTCAATGTCAGTTCCATTGGCCAAAAAAATATTTGATCCATCTCTCTTATCTCCATGTTCGCATCTATAAAATAGAGAGAATAACAGTTTTTCTTCAGAGTTATTCTGCAGATTAAATGAGGTAGCCCTTGTAAAGCATTTAGAAGTGTGCATGGCACAGAGTAACCACTCAATTGTCAGTGCTCTTAATGGATGATGTAGCAATGACCAAGAGAAGAAAGACATGCCGGGTTCTGCGCTAGGTGCAAGTGTTAAAAAATTATACCACTCTGGCAAAACACACCTTAGGCCAGTTCAGCTTGCAGCCCTCCCTCAGCATCTCAAAGACCAGCAGGAGGCATTCTAGAGCAGTGCTTCTCAAGCTGCAATGTGCATATAAATCACCAGGGCATCTTGCGAAAATGCAGATTCTCGCTCAGTGGTTCTAGGCAGGGACCAGAGATTCTCCATTTGTAACAAACTCCTAGGCAATGTTCTGGCCCAATACACCTCACTTTAAGTGGCTAGGACCTAAGGAACTGCTTTCCTCCTATTTCCCAGCCTCTAAATTCTCCCCCTCTAATGTGCCTGAGATAATGAAAACAACCCAGGGAAAATAAATCATCTTCAACAACCAAATGTCAAATAAATCAAATGAGAGTATAAAAGCTATTGAAGGCAGCTTTCTGGGGCTCCTGGGACTGCAAACCCTTTCTGCACACTCTCCTGGCAGCCAACTAATCACCAGGAGGAGGGAATGCCTTCATTTAGGCACATAAAACACAATGCCTACCCTTGAATCAAAAGGAGTAAAATGAATCTGATAAAGCCTGTGTGGCCCCAGGTCCAATTTGAAGGCTTAGTCCTTTTGTAATCTATTTAAACTCCCAAATGAATATAAAGAAGAGGAAGGACTAGCTTATTCATGTGTGTTAGAATACTTTTGGAATCTTTGTCCTCTCACTGTGTTCTTTCTCATTGTCCTCCCTCTAGCTGTATTTCCTCCACCAGCAACGTTCCATTTCAAGCCACAGGACTATAAAGACAGATGCCACAAAGTTCATCTGTTATTGAGTGACCACAGGAAATGCCAGAGATTCTGAGAAGCAATTGAAATTGAACCATGTAACAGCCAACCTGACCCTCTTCACTCATGCCCCTCAGGATCCTGGGTGTAACATCAATTAAGACAAATTAACATAAAGAAAGTCGGACTGGAAGAAACACAATTTCTTTCAAGAAATACTAGCGGCCCCATGTTGCGATTCAGGCCATTGAGAAATATTTCAAGTATGACTCCGAGAAAAGCTTTCACAAATATTTTATGAGCTTCAAAATTATAAGAAGTCACCAAGCCCCTTCTTTTCACTGCTACCATTTTGCAAGGACAACATCACAAGGGGAGTGGAGCAAGGAGAGCAAGTGCAAGGAGCTTGCTTCATTCACTCGCTGACCTAGGAAGTCAGGAATGCCATCTTGTCCTGGTCCTGTAAGGTCTTTATAATCCTTGTCCATCCAGGTACGATGAAGAAGGCAGGCTACACTAGAAACTAAATGTGGGATTTTGCCCACTTTTCACGCATCAAGCCTCTTTCGAAGGTTGTGCTCTAAATGACCTCATTCAAAGTATAAGGAGAACATGCATTGGTGAAGAACATGGGCTCTGCAGTCAGACTTCTTGGGCTGTGGCACTTACTATCAGTGAGACGGTGGATAAATCTTAGTTTCTCTTAGTTTTGCTTTACTTATTCATGAATTGAGGTTAATAAAAGCACCAAACTATAAGGTTACTGTGACAACAAAATAACACATAAAGCACAATGCCTAGCATAGGTAAAAACTATTATCCTGCCTTGCAGCACTTACCAGGTATGAATGAAAAAGAAAGCAAAATTTGCAAGTTTCTGCCCCCTGTAACTGTATTGCTAGCTCATATTAGGACGCTGGATGATTTATAATATAATTGAACACCAGAGGTAAATGTTTCTTTACTCTCTGGGCTTCAGCATCTCTATCTGTAAAATCAGGTGGTTGTATTAAATCTCTTACCTTCTCAATTCCAACAAGAACTGTCTAGAAATTGTTGAGCAATTCCCCAGGGATGCAAGCAAATCCCCAAAGATCCCCTCCTTGAGGCTGAGATGGGGGCTGATATTAAATTACAGCTGCACAAACAGCAACTTCATCACATGAGGTTTACCTAGCACTGTCTGTGTGTGTGTCTTTCATTCCTTCACCTTTGTGTTAGGCGTACCTATGCGCCAGATCCTAATGGAAGCAGTGAGATGGCCAGGATGCTGAGGTAAGTGAGATGTGGCCCCTAGAACCAAGAAACTCACAGACCAGTAACAGAATGAAGTCAGCATAAAGACTGAAGGTGTAGGGCAGTGGGAATATTTGCTTTACTACTAGTGATAGAAAGGCTATCTGTGGTAACCTTCAGGATATCTCCCATGGACTCCAAGACTTAAGTAAAAATAGCAACCACTGTAACTCCTATGACTAGAGCTGCCCCTGCTATTATAAGTGCTTAAATGTTTACTCTATGCCAAGCCCATATCAACTACATTGAATCCTTTACATTAGTCCCCTGAATTAGGTATCATTATCTTCAATGGGCTGCAAACATCAGCCATCTTTCTGCTCTGGCTTCTGTTAACAGCAACCAGACCACTCACAGATTTTTTTTTAGCCTAAGAGCCTACACTTACCCCACATGAACCCTTCCTGACTGCAGCTGTTTAGAACACAAACAAGAACTTGATCTCGGACAGTCAATTTATGGACTGGTTAAGAAAAAGGGTCAACTGGACCAATTAAATTCTCTGGGCTTTCTCTCCCAGGGTACAGATTAGAATCAACTCTTTAAATATATAGTTATCAGGCTCCACCTCAGGCCAGTTAAATCAAACTGAGGGGAGGTGAGCTGGCATGCATATTTTGTAAAGCTCTCTTGTTGACTCTAACATGAAGCCAAGGTTGAACATCACAGCTTTAGAGTAGTGGTTCTCCCCAAGTGGGGTCCCCAAAGTAGCAGCATCAGCATTTCTTGGGAACTTGTTAGAAATACAGATTCTTGGGCTCCACTCCAGGCCTGCCAGATCAGAAATGCTGGTGGCTGTACCCAGCAATCTGCATTTGGACAAACCCTCCATATGATTCTGACAGACACTGAGGTTTGAGGACCACGGCTTTAGAGCCTCACTACTCAAAATGTTGTTCATCAACCAGCAGTATCGGAATCACCTGCAAACTTGCTAGAAGCACAGAATATTCTGCCCCAACCTAGAGTTGGTGAATGAGTATCAGCATTTTCACAAGATCTCCAGATGACTGGTGAAAATTAAAAATCCTAAGCCCTTCAACTGACTGAACGAACCCCTTTCTTGGCCAAGGGAATCCCAGAGAAACTGTAAAACCTGAGTTCCCTGCCATGAAAGGATGGGAAATCAGACACACCTCATTATATTCCCACCCTTTAGTTGTTTAGACACAACTGACCAGCATTAATGTTATACTAGAGATTATAAGACTGACAGAACAGACTCGTCGTGGCTATAAGACACCAAATTATAAACAGGACCTAGGGCCATGCCAGGCAATGGTTAAGTCACGCATCCCTACACTTAAAGAACAAGCTATGTTCTAACTGTCAGAAGGTTTTCATTTTCCTCCAGCAGCTAAACCAGCACTGGCCCTGAGACAAACAATATTGAGACAATTGCAGCTCACCCACCATCAGAACTTGACTAACTGTCCCCCTTCCCTGTTCCACAAGCCATAAGTTCAGGTTTCTTGGACAAGAGACTGATTTCAGTAACTTTCTCCTGATACGAGACCATGGACCACAGTCTTGTTCTGGCTGGTTTACAGAGAATGCTTATTGGATTCCTTCATGTCCTTGCTTCACCTTCTGATGTATAGGGCCTTATTGTAATGCATTTAAATGTTAAGTCTCCACCCCAAAGTGAACATGGGTCATATGTAACATTCAGATTTATTCTGTCGGCATGCTTCAGGACCCCTTTCGTGAATATTCACAGCTCCTCCTATAACCTGTTGAATATGTATACTTGGCCAACTAATTTAGCATAGATCCCCGTTTCACCCTCCCCTCCCTTGAAAGCTCTGCCAGCAGCTACATTTCCCAGACTGTCAGGATGGCCACCCTGCAAGCCGTAACTTTGTATAAGAAATAGCATCTTCTTTCCAAAGTTATAGATCTCATGATTCTTCAGTTGACACTGTTATGTGCATTAAAGTTTGAGACACACAAAAAAAAAATTAAATGAGTTTCAATGGAAGAAGATAAAAATAGTCAAAAGAAGAAGCAATGACTCTCAACTAAGGAGTTGTACTCTACATGAAGAGAATTTATCAGAACAACCTGAGGGGTTCTCTCAACCTATTTGTACAGAATGCAGAGATTTCAGGAGGCAGGAATCACTGCCACTGATGAAAATATGTTGTATTCCTCAGTGTGGTAGATGAAAATTAGGTTTATAAAACAGAAATTGAAAGAGGCTGGGAGGGAAAGCATGATGGGCATGGCAATGTGAAGATATAGAACAGCAGAGGAAGATGGGTATAAAAAGAACTACATAGACAAGCAGAAAGAGGCTGACCCCATGAGGAAGAGAGAGCAAATGAGTAAATGATCACTAGAATTGTGTCTCCCACCTTCCCACTTTGGGTTCCAGTTCAGCAGTACCCTCACAATAAATAGCTTTTCTTGAGATGATTTGAAAGGGTCTTGATATGGTGTGGCTGTGTCCCCACCCAAATCTCATCTTGAATTGTAGCTCCCATAACTCCCACATGTCGTGGGAGGGACCCAGTGGGAGGTAATTGAATCATGGGGGTGGCTCTTTCCTGTGCTGTTCTTGTGATGGTGAATAAGTCTCACCAGATCTGATGGTTTTATAACCGTCAGATTATAAAATGGTAGTTCCCTGCACAATCTCTCTTCCCTGTCACCATGTAAGACGTGACTGCTCCTCTTTTGCCTTCCACCATGATGGTAAGGCCTCCGCAGCCATGTGGAACTGTGAGTCAATTAAACCTTTCCTTTATAAATTACCCAGTCTTGGGTATGTCTTTACTAGCAGTGTGAGAATAGACTAACATAGATCTCTATCTCTGTAACTACAAGCATTCATTTTGTGCAGTGGCCACCCAAGAGTGCTCACTAGGAGAGGGATAACAAAGACAAAAACAAAAAACAAAAAGGAGGAAGCAGGCTTCACCAGGCAGCCACAGTCCCACTCAGACTCCCAGGTGCTGAGGAAGATTTTGCCCAGAACCAGTTTGTCTCCTGAGATCGACTTCATGCCTCCAAACCAAATAAATGCCTGGAAGAGAGGAAGATCAACAGCAAGCACTGGCTGGATGATGAGAAATGTACACATGTTTCGCCCACACAGAAATTTGAGACTTCAGCAGGTAGGCTCTCAGGTGCCCACATAGCTCACCTCACCCTGGCAACATGTTTACTCTAATTGCACCTCATGTTTTGCCAAAGTGAGATGAGGAGGGTTTGAGGCATGAGGGGAAAGGATACAAAAAGAAAACAAAGCCATTGAAATAAAATAAAGCCGCCCTGAAACCATCTCCTCAATATCCAGGGAAATGGATGTGCCATAACTATGGGGAAAATATACACACACACACACAAACACAAACACACACACACACATTTGATTAAAAAAAGCAGCCCTCCTCCACCTTTAGTGAAAATAAAAATCCCTATGAATAGCTAAATACATGATTCATACTGTCTAGTGGAGAATATCCCTCAGCAAAAGTGTAAGCTACAAAATATTAATAAAAGAGATACACTTATGAGCAGTATAGCTACATGTTGTAATGCCATGGGCATTGGACTAGTATAATTCTTGTACTCAAACCATGAAATCCAAAATTACCAATTGAAGACGGGGCTACCTGCATTCATTTACACTTCAACAAAGAGCTTATCAGGCCAAATGAAAATCACGGTGCTCCCAAGAATAAACAGCTGTCAACCTGTCTTCCACCCCAATCTACTTAACAGGTGGTACACACCTGTGAGACATGTCCTTGCACAATTCTCCAGAGACAAGAGGAAATTGTTTCCATTTCTCTCTCATTCGAAGAAATCACAATGAAACATGAGAGGAAGAAGAATATTATAATATGAATAACCTCGAGTATGCTGTGAATTATTTTTAAGTAAACAATTTACAACTTTGAAACTTTAATAAAAATAACAATATGCTTTTCATGTAGTTGTTCAACAAATATTTATGGAGCACCCACAATGCACCAGACACCATGCTAAGTAAGGGCTGAAATGGAAGCAGGAACAGGTTCTCTATTTCCTTTGTTTGGGAGACAGACAATTACACAAGCAACTAGAAAAAAAGGGGCAAATTACAAAATAATACATATAACATGATCTCATTTAAGTAAAAATACACAAGCCAAAACATTACCATATATGCATATATAAAAAACACACAAAAAAGTTTTGGTAATCTATTCACTAACTCAGTGGTAAGCAAACCTTGTCCTGCAAAAGACTAGATAGTAAATATTTTCAGCTTTGTGGGCCATACAGTTGCTATCACAACTACTTGATTCTGTGGTTATAGTATGAAAGCAACCATAGAGTTCATATGTAAACAAAAGAGTATATCTGTGTTCCAATAAAACTTTATTTACAAAAATTGATTTGGTCCTCAGGTTGTAGTTTGCCAAACTCTGCTCTAAATTACTAAAAGTAAGTTATTTTAAAGGAGTACAACTTGAGGGAGAGATGAGTTTAAAAGAGAGCTCTCCTTTTTACCCTCACAATCTCTTATTTCGTTTGAATAAATATCTACCTCTGAATCCTCAGTCGTGAGCACAGTGCCTGGCACATAGCAATCACTAATAAAGACTCGTTCAATAAAATATATATCTGGATGAGTTCAATTACTCATCATACTTAAAAATCAGTGTGATTCAGCAAAAGAAAACCTCATTCCAGTCCCTGTGCCTGACTTGATTTAAATATTAGAAGTACACATTTGTGCATTCAAGGATTCCAAATCCTTGGTGGAGGCCGACTCATGAAGATATCCCATTGGAACCAGTGTATCAAATACAATTGACCACCCACAAGGTGAACAGGCAACCTACAGAATGGGAGAAAATTTTTGTAATCTACCCATCTGACAAAGGTCTAATATCCAGAATCTACAAGGAACTTAAACGAATTTACAAGAAAAAAACAAACAACCCCATCAAAAACTGGGCAAAGGATATGAACAGACACTTCTCAAAGGAAGACATGTACGTGGCCAACAAACATGAAAAAAGGCTCATCATCACTCATCATTAGAGAAATGCAAATCAAAACCACAATGAGATACCATCTCACACCAGTTAGAACGGTGATTATTAAAAAGTCAGAAAACAACAATTGCTGGTGAGGCTGTGCAGAAATAGGAATGCTTTTACACTGTTGGGAGTGTAAATTAGTTCAACCATTGTGGAAGACAGTGTGGTGATTCCTCAAGGACCTAGAACCAGAAATACCATTTGGCCCAGCAATCTCATTACTGGGTATATACCCAAAGGATTATAAATCATTCTACTATAAAGACACATGCACACATATGTTTATTGCAGCACTATTTACAATAGGAAAGACTTGGAACCAACCCAAATGTCCATCTATGATAGACTGGATAAAGAAAATGTGACACATATACATCATGGAATATTATGCAGCCATAAAAAAGAATGAGTTGATGTCCTTTACAGGGACATGGATGAAGCTGGAAGACATAATTCTCAGCCAACTAACACAGGAACAGAAAACCAAACACCGCATGTTCTCACTCGTAAGTGAGTGTTGAACAATGAGAACACATGGACACAGGGAGGGGAACATCACACACCAGAGCTTGTTGAGGGGTGGGGAGCAATGGGAAGGAGAGCATTAGGACAAATATTTAATGCATGCGGGGCTTAAAACCTAGATGATGGGTTGATAGGTGCAGCCAACCACCATGGTACATGTATACCTATGTAACAAACCTACATGTTCTGCACATGTATCCCAGAACTTACACACACACACACACAACAAATGAAGTTGCAGTAAACTAAAAACAACAACAACAACAAAAAAAAAACAGTGTGATTTCAACTTAAAAAGTCAGGCACAAAGTGGAATAAATATAGTGCTAGGGGAAGTATGGGACACTCTGGAAATACCTAAAAGGGGCACCAACCCCAAACTGAAAGAATCAAGGGCAGGTTCCAAAGAAAGTGGAATCCAAGCTAACAAACACCCGCCATTGTGTATAGTGGTATCAAAATGGGAGCAATTATGCCTTTCAAGTGCACAAGCAACACAAAAATAGCCAGTCCCCCTACCTAGCATTTAAGCACTCAATCATCTCAAGAAGGAGGCTCAGAAGTGTCTGGGTTCAAGCTGTGTCCCAGCAAGGCAGCTCCTGAGCTCTGTAAACCATCCTCCCTGATGTAAAACTAGGCCACACTAGGACAAATGGCAGAGGAAGAATCTGGCTTCCCAATGAGTGCAATGCCATCCAAATTCAGTCATGGAATGGGCAAAATGGAGAGACCCTCATCCTTCCTGCTGAAATGGAGTTTTTACAAACTGAAAAATTACAGGTTTGAGCTCTTCCCTAGAAACTATGTCTGTGGACAACTACTTCTCCTAGGTAAACAAAGTGTCAGTCACTTCTCTTGAGAGAGCAGCCTGTGAACAAAGGAAGACAAATATGCTCCTCTTTCCTGGAAGCCCACACCACACCCTATTCCTAAACTGCTGTCACTCAGATAATTCCCAAAAGGGGGAGATTAAATTCTACCTCTATAATTTTCAGTTGCCTTCCAAAGAAATTACAAATGAAACCTAGCTTTGTCATTGATGTTAATTTTTAAAAGACCAAAACAGGTGGGTTAATTTATTAAGTAAAAATAGACCACAATGTTTCAAGTATAGCATCCTCTTTGTATTTAATAGATACACTTAACCAAAACCTTCACATACGTATCTTCACATATGTATCTTCACATACGTATCTTTTCACATACGTATCTTCACATACGTATCTTCACACGTATCTTTTCACATACGTATCTTCACATACGTATCTTTTCACATACGAAAATCTTTCACCCTTTGTTAGTTCTTATTGTCTATCCTAGCTCAGGAAGAAAAAAAAATGTCATTTTCCTTCGAGGGTTTGTGTGTAGATCTTTGGCTCCACTAGCTGGTAGTAATTTAAACATAAACGAAAGCAAAGTGGTGCTGGGGAGAAACGCGGCTGGGGATGGAGAGGTATCCAGAAGCATACTGCTGTGTGATGAGATCCCTCTTTCAAAAGACTGAGTCCGTGTGCTTAAGAAAAACTGCATGTTGAGTTACTGTTTAGGGACTTTGCAACTGGTGCTGTGATTGGCTTAAGCCCCCATCTGGAGTGTATATGTTTCTTGTCCCAATCCCTAGTGAGCTCCATGAAAAGCCCAACACTCTCCAATGTTGGGGAGAAGAGTCACTTCCCATCAACTGAATGACCCCATGGGTCATTCTCCACAACCCTCACTTCCCCTAATGTCCTTTCCTAGTTGTTCCCGGTGGCATCTCAGGACGATTCATGTCTTCAGAGAGCCTCTACATCCTTTTGCCATCTAATAACAATAGCTTATTTGTCTCTTGCCATCACATCTAGAGGGTAGCTCCTGGCAGTCAAAGTCCATTCTGAGCCCTCCAGTGACAGCTAAAGTGATCCAAAGCTAAGCCTCTTAAGGATTTTGGGGGAGCCTTTAGAGCTGTATCTGGGAAGAAAGATTGTGGAACTCTTTTTTTAACTCCAAGATGTCTTCCTTGATCTTGAGACATGCCAAGGATGAGAGGAGTAGCAGGTGCAGGGACAGAAGCAAGGAGGAGATGAGGATGGACACAGCCCTAATCTCCTGAGAGCACCACTCCCTGGAAAGAATAGAATCACCATTCCCTCAGCTCAAAACGTTTCTTGTTCGAGGTCCTAAATTGTTTCTCAAGAATTGCCTCCACGGGCATCAGATAATTAATACAAATTGAGTACCAAAATGGTTTTATTTATTCATGCTCCCAGTGATTTTTCTGCATATTCAGGGATATTGCCATAGAGGTTGGAGGGCACTACAGACTCACAATAGTGAATTTTCTCCTTGGAATTTGCAAAGGTTTAACATATATGCTTGCCTTGAGGACAAAAACAATGACTTTGATTTCACTTGCTCCCAACTGATACCACAGAATCCAGAATAGTGAAGGCACCCTTTGAAAATTTGATGAATATGTAAATGAATGAGCGTGTGAATGATACTTGTGGTAATTCAGAGTTAGACTACCCTGTGTCTTTATACAGAGAGGACATTTGAAGAGACATAGACAGAGTGAATGTCATGTGAATGTGAAGGTGGCCATCTACAAGTCAAGGAGGAAGGCCCTCACAGCCCTCAGAAGAAACCAATCCTGCCAACACCTTGATCTCAGACATCCAGGCTCCAGAATTGAGAGACAAATTTCTGTTGTTTAAGCCATGCAGTCTGTGGCACTTTATTATGGCAGCCCTAGAAAACTAACAGATGTCCCCAGCTTCTCCTCTTCAGGCCGTGTCTACAGAATTCATTGACACACTGAAATTCTTAACCAAGAAGTAATGTAGTGACTGAGGACAGGGCCAAAAGTCTCTCCATCTAGGCTCCAAGCTTGCTTCCACCACTTGCTAGTTGTGTGACTTGGGTTGAGTTACTTACCCTCTCTGTGCCTCAGTTTTTGCATCCCTAAATGGAGACTCTACCAGAATAATATCTCAAAGTCTAGTTGTGGGGATTAAGTGAGACAATTCAGCACAACATCTGGCATACAGTAAGAGCTTAATCGATATTAGTTGTTGCTTGTGGTGGTAATGGCAGTTAATGGTGGTAGTAATTGCTATGTTGGCATTGTGAAATGCAGTCTATTAAAAGGAGAACAGGGTTTCAAGACAAACAGACCTGGGTTCAAACTCCAGTTCCATTTCTTACTAGCTTTGTGACTTTGGATAATTCACTTTACCTCTCTAAATCTCAGTAAATTGGAGATCATCTGTAAACGGAAGTAATCTGTCACAGAGTTAAAATATAAATTAAGAGGGAAAATGAACTTGAAGCATTTTGTACCGTTCCTGGCTTAGAGTGATGCCTCAATAAATGTCCATTTTTATAAGCAGATGATCTGATTCCCCATCTCACTCCCACTTGGTTCAACCACAGTCTTTCTAAGAACCAAGCCTCAAAAGGAAACATCATTTTGCAGGACAAAAAAATTGAAATCATGTCCTTTGAAGCAACGTGGATGGAGCTGGAGGTCATAATCCTAAACAAATTAACACAGGAACAGAAAATCCACTACTGCATTTCTCACTTGTAAGTGAGAGCTAAACATGGAGCACACTTTGACATCAATACGGGATAAATAGACGCTGTGGACTACTAGAGGATGGAGGGAGTGAAGAGTGGGTTAAAAACTACATATTGACCCAGGTTCAGTGGTGTTCACACCTGTAATCCCAGCACTTTGGGAGGCTGAGGCGGGTGGATCACTTGAGGTCAGGAGTTCGAGACCAGCCTGGCCAACATGGTGAAACCCCATCTCTCCTAAAAATACAAAAATCAGCCTGGTATGGTGGTTCACACCTGTAGTCCCAACTACTCAGGAGGCTGAGGCAGGAGAATTGCTTGAACCCAGGAGGCAGAGGTTGCAGTGAGCTGAGATCACACCACTGCACTCCAGCCTGGGCAACAAAGCAAGACTCTGTCTTAAAAAAAAAAAAAAAAAAAAAAAAAAAAAAAACTACATATGGGTACTGTGCTTACTACCTGGCTGACAGGATCCGTACTCCAAACCTCAGCATCACTCATTATCCTCATGTAACAAACCTGCACGTGTACCCCTTTATCTAAAATAAAGTTGAAATTTTTTAAAAAGACTGAAAATCAGCTTAGAAATAGCTGTTCTTTTTTATCAACTAACCCTAGTGTGGGCAATACTATTAAAATGCATTAGTGTCCCCCTACTAGAAAGCAGGCTCAACCCAAGAGGGCAGTTCATTTCCAAGCACACATGTTCTCCAGCCAGAATGAGCCATGCATCCCTCATAGGCGCTTTGAATGGCATTTCAAGGTCACTTCTCAGGATAGGAAATTGTCCCTCTGCAGTCACAGAGCTGATATTTTCTTTCTTTTACCTGCAAGGCCCCTTAAGTCTTCTGAGTGAAAACTCTTTGCCATCAAAGTTTGTGCTGCAGATAGGAGCTACTGACTGCTGCATGCCTGGGGCTCAGGAAAGCATTCTCTGTTCCAAATGATTCATAAAACACCCCTATTTTTTAAACATATGCATAAAGAAGCTAAAGAGTTTTCACACACACACAAAAAATACATTTTCCATCTTTGAAATCATTCAAAAAACTTGAAAATCTTCTCAGGTATTTTATCGACGATTTTCAACATTTGTCATTACTCTCCACATAAATGCAAATAGAAGCATTCAAACAAATCTGAGGAAAATGTACAAGGAAGGACACTTAACAATTATTTCCATAATACTTGCCATCCTTATATCCTGAAATCATTTTTCAAACCGTAACTAAGCATTCCTAAACATTATCCTTTAAGAGTATCATTATAAATGCTCTCTCCAAAATTTAGGAAGGGCGCTTCTCTCTTTCCCTGATAGAAGAGGAAGCCGAAGTGTAATGTTTGCTTTATAGTTTCCTTGATGCTCTATAAGCAGTGTCCTCACTGCCATTCAGTTCCTCTCCCCACCAAGTTCCTAAACACTTGACTGTCACCCATGAGACTTTCCTTAATTTTTATGCATTCAGCTTGCAGGAGTACTTGGAGAGAGAGACACTCCAGCAGCAAAATATCTCCCTCAGGAACTTACACCTGAAGAGAGAACATGGGAAACAAAAAGTTATTTCTAATGTCAAAATGATGGCCCCTAGGCATGAGGCTAGGGAACAAGTTATAGCAGGAAATAGGCCATGTAAACACAAATACCACCCAGAGCAAGCCAGCAAGCTCCATGGGGCTCTGCAAGGTTGCATCCCAGGTGCCTGGCACAAGGTGGGCCCAGAGGTCTATAAATATTTTGTAAATACCTGATACATAGTGAATATCTTTGGTGTAAGTTTGAGTATTTTAATCTGTTTTGTATCCCACACATACTTACCATGACATCATCTAAACAGTTGTTCACATGCTGGTCACCAGTCCTATTAAGTACTTACATTCAGTGCTCTAAGTCAGACACTAGAATATGCCTGACCTCATTTAATAATCACAACAAAGTTACGAGGCAAAGTATTATACCCAATTTTCAAAAAGAAACAGGAACTTGGGGAGATTAAATCAGTTCTCCTGAGTCACACAGAAGTGAATAGCAAAAAGTAAATTCAAACCCAGGTGCGTCTCAGTCCAATCTCCATAATATTTTCTCTACCATGCGATTTTCTCATGGGTGTTAGTAGCGTGTGCTTGCGCACACACACACAGCTAGCTGCACAGTCAAATTGGCAGGATTTTTTTTTTTACTGTAGGTCTTCTCAGAGCCTTTTCTATGCTAATGTAAATTGTAAATCTTCAAGAAGACACAGAGAGTAAGTGGCATTCTGCAAACTAATTTTAGAGAATCCTTTGTTCGTGGAGCATCTCATGGAACTGTTGACCCATAGAACAGATTTTAATAAATAGTTTGCTAATAAATATCCTGTGAATCAGAAATGCATGGTCTTACGTCTCAGAGAAGAGGACCGGTTATCTGGAAGAGGGCATACCATGTGGGACATCTTGCTTTCCACCATGTTAATAAGCCCCCAAATCCCTTAACCCTTCATAGAAATTGAATAGCAGGAATTTCATTCTGTGAAAATTACCTAGTGAAATTCAAAAGTTATCATAAAATAAATGAACTGCCAGCTTCCCTGGGCCATTAATATGCTCAATGACAGCTAAATCTTGAAACTTCAGGAATCCACTGAAGTGTAAAGATAGAAGAGAATGCTATGTCACCCAGTGGAATATTTTCTAATTATTCTCCCTTCTCCTATTTCAAATATATCCCTTTTGCGATCTCTTGAGGTTCCATATACTTTCTTTCTCTCTTGGTCAAGAATTTTATATTTAATCAGATCTCCAAGATGGCAGAATAGGAGGATGGCCTTCATATTTAATAAAAGTTGGAGACTGGAGTTAGGCTAAGCGCAGAGACTTCTAAAATCAACATTCCAGATTTCTAATCCTAGAAGTTACCTTGATTACTTTACCTCTTTGTCAACTCATCTCATAGCCCTTTCAGTCTTATTTTTGTTTCTGTCCTTTTTTTTTTCTTTTTTTTTTTTTCTTTTTTGAGATGGAGTCTTGCTCTGTCACCCAGGCTGGAGTGCAGTGGCACAATCTTGGCTCACTGCAACCTCTGACTCCTGGACTCAAGCAAATCTCCTGCTCAGCCTCCTAAATAGCTGGGATTACAGGTGTGCACCACCACACCCAGCTAATTTTTGTATTTTTAGTAGAGACGGGGTTTTGCTATGTTGGCCAGGCTGGTCTCGAACTCACAACCTCAGGTGATCCGTCTGCCTAGGCCTCGCAAAGTGCTGGGATTACAGGCATAAGCCACCATGCCCAGCCATTTATTTTCTTAAATGTGACCCAAGACAGTCCTCAAACAAAATTTTTATGTCATGATGGATGCCCCTGCCCCTTTCCTTCCCTGCCCAACAAGACCAGATTTTCTACTGCAGAGGCTATGCCTAAGAATTTACCAGGTCTGCTGCACCTATTAATCCATTCATTCTTCATTCACTCAGTAGTGTCTGGCACATAAAAGAGCACTGAGGTTGCAAAATGAACGACATTTTGCCTATGTTGAAGAAGTTTACAACTTATCTGGATACTACATTCAAAGAGAGAGACTACTCTGGAAGTAAAACAGAGAGATACTTATATCAGCCTAAGGGGACACAGAAGTCTTCCTGGAATAAAGATATAAAGATACGGAGTTCTTGGGGTATACTTGCTCATTCATTCTACAATATTATTGAGTGCTGGAGACTATTCTAAACATTACAGCAGACTGTGTCTCTCTTTATTCATGAGGTTTACATTCTAGCAGAAGAACAGAGATTTTTTTAAAAGTAAATTTAAGAAAGAAAATGTCGGCCGGGCGCAGTGGCTCATGCCTGTAATCCCAGCACTTTGGGAGGCCGAAGCGGGCGGATCACGAGGTCAGGAGATCCAGACCATCCTGGCTAACAAGGTGAAACCCCGTCTCTACTAAAAATACAAAAAATTAGCCAGGCGTGGTGGCAGGCGCCTGTAGTCCCAGCTACTCGGGAGGCTGAGGCAGGAGAATGGCAATGATGAGTTCATGTCCTTTGTAGGGACATGGATGAAGTTGGAAACCATCATTCTCAGCAAACTATCGCAAGGACAAAAAACCAAACATTGCATGTTCTCACTAATAGGTGGGAACTGAACAATGAGAACACATGGACACAGGAAGGGGAACATCACACTCTGGGGACTGTTGTGGGGTGGGGGGAGGGGGGAGGGATAGCATTGAGAGATACACCTAATGCTAGATGACGAGTTAGTGGGTGCAGCGCACCAGCATGGCACATGTATACATATGTAACTAACCTGCACGTTGTGCACATGTACCCTAAAACTTAAAGCATAATAATAATAATAATAATAATAATAATAATAAAAAGAACCCGGGAGGCGGAGCTTGCAGTGAGCCGAGATGGCACCACTACACTCCAGCCTGGGCGACAGAGCAAGATTCCGTCCCAAAAAAAAAGAAAAAAAAAATGCCAAGTAATAATAAATGCTTTGCTGAAAAGAAAGAGAGTGATACGACAGAAAGTAGCTGGTGATATATTTTAGGTTGGATGATAGAGAAAATCCTCTCTGAGGGGGTGACATTCAGCTGTGACTTGAAAGACCAAGAAGAGGCAAGCCAGCCAAGATCCAGGACAGTGGTTTCCAAGCAGAGGGAACAGCTAGCGCAATCCCTCAAGGAGGGAAAATGACTGGGCTGTTCTTGAAACAGAAAGAAGGTCCATGAAGCAGACACTTAAGGAAAAAAAAAGGGGCAGGAGGTGGGGTGGGGACACATCATACAAAGCCTTGCAAGGATGCCAAGGGAAGGGGATTCAATTTTGTTTTAAATGTCACGCAGGCTTCTCAGATGGTTACCGGGAGCAACAGTATTTGCTATTCAGGGAATAGATTGCAGGAAGGTAGGAGCTCGCCCTTCCATCCATTGGCTTACATTGGTATTTCAGTTTTTTTAGTTCTCAGCCCCATGCCACACTTCTGATGGCAGAGGAAGGCCTTTCTCTCTGATTCCTTGTGTTCCCTTTGCATCTAACCCAACCTTGAGTTGGTGACTTCCTTGAATTCTAACAGATACTTTTTTCTCACACATAGCCCATGGCAAATAGTTTTTTAAAGTTTCCTTTATGGTCCCTTGAACAATTTTTCTCAAAATCTTCATTTTGCCATTTCTCTAGAAGATCTCTCCCTTCCCTCTTGTGCACCTAGAGTCCCTAGCCCTCCCAGAAAGCGCCAAACTCACAATTGCATTTTCAACTCTGTATTCTCAGCATAAATCCCAAAGCATCTGAAACAGAACTACATTTAATGATCCTCAGCTAGATTTGGGATTACTTTCTCTTCACATGTGATCTGGAAGAGAAAGGGTCACATTGCTGATCTTGCCTCTTGCTTTCCTCCTCCGCCAACCAAAATTAAGAATTACACTTATTGTCCCATTTGTTGCCCTTTCATTGATATCCCTTCTGTGATTAAATTCAGCCTCAGTGATATTAAAATTATGTTATTCAAAGTTTCTTATTCATTCAATCATTCAAAGCAAAAAAGGAAATTATCAAAGAGCCATTGACCCTCAAGTAAGACATAGACTCTGCTCTCAGGAGCTGTGAAGGATAGTGAGGACCACAAAGACAGCATGATGGCCCACAGACAGCAAAAGGGCCCATGGGAAAGGTGTTCCCAATAAAAGAAATATTCTTCACTCAAAAGAATTTTGAAAATGCCCCTCGTAAGTCTTAGTGACACACAGATACGCTTTCAAAACAAGACCTATAAATTTATCTATAAATGCCTTTTTTCTTTAATTATAACACTTTTTTCTTATTAAAACGACTATACATGTTATTTATAAAAGAATTAGAAAATACTGCCAATCAGTAAGAAGGAAATAAAAATACCCCAGTTTCCAATACCCCAAAATAACCACTGGTAACACCTTACATTATAACTTGATAGATCATTGATAGATAGAAAATGTATAGATGATAGATAGATGATTGATTGATAAACAGATGATAGACACACCTATGTGAGGTTAATTTGTCAATGAAAATGGGCTTATGATCCACATGTTATCTTGTTACCTAAATTTTTCACTTTATATATAGCAGACATCTTTTCATGTCAATAAATGTTTACTCACAAAATATTTTAATATTCGATTTGCTGTTGCTGGAATTTTTTTCAGAACCTTCCTTCTTTGTGCACCACATCTGCTGCTCTGTGCTTATTCTCTCCACTTCCCACCCCGCCCCTAACTCTGCGACATTAAATGAACACTTTGCATAAGAGAGATTCCTCTGGTATGTTCTCAACTACCCGGGTACAGTGAAGAGTCCCAGAAACACTTGGCTCCTTCTTCAGCTTCACCTCTATCTAATTGTGCATCACTGGGCAAGTTTCATTCTTTCTCTGGGTCTTAGGTTCCATTATAAAGTTAAATATAAATGCTGCTCAGATTATTTACCCACTACTCCTTCCTAATACTGTAGATAAACTACTATATGACTTTATCATTCAATGATAAAGGACACAGTTTTCCTGTTCTATCTGGCCCAGTGAGCATGAGTACTTACTAATTAACAGACACAAATTGCTAGAAAATTCCAGACTAAAACAGTAAAAGTTGAATTGCTCCTCAAATGATTCCATCTTCAGATGCAGGGGCAGAAGGTAAAGAGGGGAAACAGGAAAAAAAATCCAGAGCCTGTACTATTACTGCTTATGATCAATAGCCAGCCCTACCTTATAATTGAAGAACTGTGTATAATATGGACATGTATGGCCACAAGACTAAACAAAATAGCAAAACCATCACTGAAACCCCTGAAGACTCATGGGTTTCACATCTGGACAAATGACCACATTAAGATTTTACCCAAAGCAGAATAGAAGATGATGTCTCTGATTGTTAAAGTGAAACATTTTTAAATTGGCCTTGACCAGCTGCTGGATATTATCATCTGAAACAAGAAGTGTTTAGGGAAGGAACAGGACAGAACTTCCTCACAACAAAGAGATTATTTCAGGATTGTTGTGTAATAGCAAAACAGGGAAGAAGGGAGGAAACTCAAAACAAAAGAAAATAAGAGACCAGATAAATAAACCACTACCTTCACACAATCGGCTACTAAGAAAACTTCAAAATAATGATTTTGCTGTATATTTACAAATCGTATGCATTTTTCAGAATCTATGGCTGAGGTGGAAATGACAAAAATAAATCAGTATATGTAGCATGATTGAATGTTTTAAAAAGAAAATGTATATATTTACATCTATGTCACAAGATTAATGTCCAGATTGTGTGATATGAAGCACTTTTTATTATATATATTTCAAATTTTTATTTATGTGTCAAATAAATCATGCACATTTTTAATTTTTAAAGTGCAGCTATATCCTGTCACATCATCTTCTTCTAGCAGTGTTTTCCCAGGGACAAGACTTTTTTTCTTTTCTGTTCACCTGGGGCAGGTATAAATTGTTTGACTTCTAGGTCTGGCTCTTCTATGAGTACCTTTTATCATTTCCACTCTTAACTTGCTTTTCTCTTTTCTGGTCATGTCTTTTTATTTTTTTGAGACAGAGTCTGCTTCTGTTACCCAGGCTGGAGTGCAGTGGTACAATCACAACTCACTGCAGCCTCTACCTACTGAGCTCAATCGACCCTCCCACCTCAGCCTCCCAAGTAGCTGGGACTATAGACACATGCCACCATGCCCAGCTAATTCTTTGTATTCTTTGTAGACATGGGTTTTCACTATGCTGCACAGGCTGGTCTTATACTCCCAGACTCAAGCCATCAGCCTACCTCATTCTCCCAAAGTGCTGGGATTACAGGTGTGAACCACCAAGCCTGCCCTCTTGTCTTTTCTTATGTGTTTCTTCAAGTCTCTGAGTTAGAAGAAGCCTTGGATTTTATGTATTCCAACCTTTAACTCTGTATCAGTCAAGATGTACATCAGTTAAGAAGCAAAAATCTCAAGTCAACTGTAAAGCAGGGGTCAGCAAACTACCACCCAAGAACCAAATACTGCCCATGGCCTGTTTTTCCAAATAAAGTTTTATTGAAACACAACCATTCTCATTTGTCTGTGTATTTTCTTTAGCTGCTTTCATGCTACAATGACAGAGTTGGCTTACATATCCTAAAGTATTTACTATATGGCCCTTTACAGAGAAAGTTTGCCAACCTCTAATCTAAATTAAAAAAAAAAAAAGAAAAATTACTTCTCAAAGTCGGAAGCCCAAAGATGGGCAACCTCTAGAACTGTTTGATGTAGCAGCTCAATGATGTCATCAAGGACTGGTTCTTTCTAAATACCCACTATGCCGTCAGTTTCATGCCCAAGCTAATGGCCCTCCTAGTTGCAAAATGGCTACCATGGTTCCTAATATCATACTCTGACCTATACAATGTTCAACAGAAAATACCATTCCTTCTCTTCTGCATTTTCTTAAAAGACTGAAGAAGCCTTTCCCTCTGAGGAAAAGCATCTTTCACTCACACTTCACTGGTCACAACTTTATCAGCTACCAACACATACATGCTCATCCCTACACCAATATTTCTCAACAGAATGGGAATTCTTATTACTTAGACTAATCTAGTTTACAAGTAAGCTAGAGCTACAGACATGTTAACTGATAGACGATGTATTTAAGAGACTGGAACTGGGTTTAGTTTAATAACATAACACCCAAATAATAGTGACTTACACAAAAAGTGAGGCCCATTATTCTTTAATGTCATCAGAAGTCCAGAAGAAATTCAGGACTAGTGCAAAAGCTTAAATATACAATGGCCAAGAGTGATGTCTGCAATTCTCTTGGCCTTTCCCTGATTATCTATCACAAGATATCTGGAGCAGATCTAGCCATCATGTCCACAATTCATGCAAGAAGGAAAAGGGAGGAAAAAAATGAGCAAGTTAAATGACTCTACTCCTGTTATTTTAAGAGTTTCTCTGGAGTCCCACATTGTAATTTACTCTTTTATCTCATTTGCTAGCATTATGTCATGTGATCACTCCCATCTACAAGAGAAGCTGAGAAGTACAGCTGGCCACTTTTACTTCCCACAATCAAATTATACTTGTGTGAGTAAATAAAAATTAATAATTGGGTGGGAGTAGTTGCAAAGAAGTTTCTCCCAGAGGTGGTCCTTGAACAAAATAGGGGCTTGGGACAAAAAAAAGGGATAATGAGGATTAGGTAAATAATTCACAATATTTACTACATATCTATTGAGGAAAAACCTCTATGGTATCTCTGATAAATAATATTATTTTACCACCTATCCATCTCACATCGTCCAATCTAGACAACAAAAGAAACTGTAAACAAAGCAAGGGCTAATATCCAGAATCTACAATGAAATCAAACAAATTTATAAGAAAAAAACAAACAACCCCATCAAAACGTGGGCGAAGGATATGAACAGATACTTCTCAAAGAAGACTTTTATGCAGCCAAAAGACACATGAAAAAATGCTCATCATCACTGGCCATCAGAGAAATGCAAATCAAAACCACAGTGAGATACCATCTCACACCAGTTAGAATGGCAATCATTAAAAAGTCAGGAAACAACAGGTGCTGGAGAGGATGTGGAGAAACGGGAACACTTTTACACTGTTGGTGGGACTGTAAACTAGTTCAACCATTGTGGAAGTCAGTGTGGCTATTCCTCAGGGATCTAGAACTAGAAATACCATTTGACCCAGCACTCCCATTACTGGGTATATACCCAAAGGATTATAAAACATGCTGCTATGAAGACACATGCACACGTATGTTTATTGCGGCACTATTCACAATAGCAAAGACTTGGAACCAACCCAAATGTCCAACAATGATAGACTGGATTAAGAAAATGTGGCACATATACACCATGGAATACTATGCAGCCATAAAAAATGATGAGTTCATGTCCATTGTAGGGACATGGATGAAGCTGGAAACCATCATTCTCAGCAAACTATTGCAAGGACAAAAAACCAAACACCACGTGTTCTCACTCATAGGTGGGAATTGAACAATGAGAACACATGGACACAGGAAGGGGAACATCACACACTCTGGGGCCTGTTGTGGGGTGGGGGGAAGGGGGAGGGACAGCATTAGGAGATAAACCTAATGTTAAATGACGAGTTAATGAGTGCAGCACACCAACATGGCACATGTATACATATGTAACTAACCTGCACGTTTTGCACATGTACCCTAAAACTTAAAGTAAAATAAAAAAAAATTTAAGAATAATGATAGGGATTTAAGTTAATGATTGAAAAAAAAACCTCTTGCTTCCATTTATTTGAATAGAGATATACCAATTGCACTGGGGATTAATGTCCCCTTGTATTCTGCACCGCTTTGCTTAATAATAATGCAAAGGAATAAGAAAAAAAAAAAAAAAACCCTGGCCATGTCCTTTTCCTTCGCATTCCTCATTTGATCCACCTCCTGAGCATACTATTCATTAATTAACATTTGGGATGAAAGGTGATGCAGAAACACCAGTGTCACAAAAACAAACTGAAAATATTTTCTTTACAGCACACAGCCAATTTTATCCCTGAATTTCTATCCATGTCATTGGAAATAATGTTTAAAAATCATTTCAATTTCATTCATTCCATCTGACAAGTTAGTGTTGAGATGGCTCTTTAAATATTTAATAATTGCTTGAGACATTTCCCTTTATTATAATTCTATAGTCAGAATCCCCTGGCTCTTTCATCAATCCCAGGGTCTGGAACAAACAGAGGCAGTTAATTTCCAGGCAAACGTTAAATCATGTGATTTCTATTCCAATTTCCTGAAGGTCAAATGAAGCACTCAATTCAAAGGGGTGTGCTCATTCCTCCCTTCCCCTTCACCAGCCATTCTTCTTTCACTGCCCATCTGCCCCCCCGCCCTCCACACACACACACCCTCCCAATCAAATCAAGCCAGATTTCTCCTAATCATCATCAGGAAGACAAAAAGGTATAGCTTTGGAGCATCAAGCCACAATTTCACACTCCATTTGCACAAGAACTCAGAAGGCCACTAATGTGCTGTTTGCTTTTTAGCAAGCATCTCTGCAGTCATCACTGAAATGCATTTTGGCGCACCTTCCAGGGCATGGGAGCTATTTATGAGAGCTTGTCTTGAAGTGCCTATGCTATCTGCAAACTGGACCTGGCCGGGAGACAACTGCGATTGGACCAAGAGAACTTTGATATGTGAGAAAGGTAAAAGTGGATGTCACTTTTCATTTATGTCAACGCTTTCTGCCCCTCAACCAATTCAGTCCTATTTGCCAGGCACTTGTAGGATTCACCCTTCACCAACCCTCTTCTACACCACTTGACAGTATAAAATAGTCTGCTTTAACTCATGGCAATGACCCAAGTCACATCCAGCTTTTCTTTGCACGCTCGAGGCATTGGCTGAGGATAAAAATTGTCCCTGGCTTTCTCCCTTTCCTGCCATACAACACCCCTAGATCAGGAAGCATCCTTCCCAAACACACGCCATGTGAAACATGCAAAGTATCAAGAGAAACTGAGGTGAAATAATCACTTTTGTCTCAAAATATGCTCCCATCATCACTATAATGCCAGCACTTCCTGCTAGGTTCTGAGCTCTTGCTGTTTTCCAAACCACCAAGAAGTAATTTATAAGCAGGTTTGCTTTCATTCAATCCTCTAATTACTGAATCCCAGCTATAGTACAGGCACCAAGAATATGGGAGAATCCTTTCTCTGGAGGAAGCTTACAATCTACCAAGGTCACTATACAAACACACACACACACACACACACACCCATATATCACTAAGCAAATACACACACATACATATATGTCACTGTATTAATCAGGGTTCTCTAGAGGGACAAAACTAATGGAAAACATATATAAAATATAATATAATATAATATAATATAATATAATATAATATAATATAATAATTGCATATATATACATAAAGGAGAGTTTATTAAGTATTAACTCACATGATCACAAGGTCCCACAATAGGCCATCTGCAGGCTGAGGAACAAGAAAAGTCAGTCAGAGTTCCAAAACTGAAGAACCTGGAGTCGAATGTTCAAGGGCAGGAAGCATCCAGCACAGGAGAAAGATGTAGGCCAGGAGGCTAGGCCCATCTTTCTTTTCACATTTTTCTGCCTGCTTATATTCTAGCCTTGCTGGCAGGTGATTAGATTGTGCCCACCCAGATTAAGGGTGGTTCTGCCTTTCCCAGCCCACTGACTCAAATGTTAATCTCCTTTGGCAACACCCTCACAGACACACCCAAGATCAATACTTTGCATCCTTCAATCCAATCAAGTTGATACTCAATATTAACCATTGCAGTCACACACGTGTGTGTGTGTATGTGTGTGTCTGTGTTTGCTTAGTGACATAGATATATACAATGTGCTGGAATGGTGGTGTGCACACATGCATATACAGGAGCACAGAGAAGGAGCACAGAGATAGAGAAATTAGAGCTGATTCCTGGGGTAGAAGATACATTATTAGCTGAATCCTCAAAGATATGTAAGAATTAGTCGGGAAGAAAAGAAGAAAGAAGGCAGAGGAAATCATAGGAACAAAGGCACAGAAGCAAGAAATCTAAGGGGAGACAGGAACAGGCAGTTTTGTACTACAAGAGTGAACATATGAGGCTAGGAATGAAATGAGATAAAGCAAGACAGACAAACCAGGGCCAGGTCATGGGAGGCCTTGTATGCCATGCCAAGCAACATAGATTTTGTTCCAGGCAGGGGAGCCGTTGAAGGGGTTTCAGCAGGGGAGCTATAGGATGAGATTTATGCTATGTGCAGATCACTATTGTTCCTGAGCAGAGGATGAATTTAAGAGGGAAAAGGCAGAAGCAGGTGGTGGTTAGGAAGCTGTGGCAACAGATCAGAAAGGCGGTTATGAGGGTGATCATCATGGAGACAAAGTGAGGGGATGGATTCAAGAAAATATGTGTGTGGGGGGGGAACTGGCAGTATTTAGTGATTACCTGGATCTATGAAGTAAAAAAGAGGTAGAAGATTAAGATGACTCCCAGGTTTGTCACTTCAGTAACTATGAATGCAAATATAGAAGAAGAAGTTCGTGTAAGGAGGTAAATGGACGCTGTGCTCTGTCTTATGCACATTGCATCTGTGAAGATGTCTATGGGAAGATGCTCAGTGGATATGTCCAGAACTGGTATCTGGAATCTATAACTAAGGGATGAGGTCAGGTCAGGAGACAGAGATGTGTGCGTTATTAGCCTATAGGAGTTATTAAAATCACAAACAATATGGGAGTCACTTTATCAAAAAGTGTTTCACAAGAGTAGCAGTAAGAACTCTGAGAGAGGGCTGACAACTACCATTGTTGAAGGGGAAAGAAACATAAGAGCAGTCCATGAAAAACAGCAGAGAAACACAGCAAAAGGAAGAGAACCAGGTGAGAGTTACAGAACCCAGGGAGGCAGAGAGTTTCAGGAAGAATGGATTTGTGGAAAAACAAAGCAAACTGAATATATATATTTACCTCTTTCTTCTCAAGAAAAAAAAAGCATCATAAAAAAACATATTTTTTATTATACTTTAAGTTTTAGGGTACATGTGCACAACGTGCAGGTTAGTTACATATGTATACATGTGCCGTGTTGGTGTGCTGCACCCATTAACTCATCATTTAACATTAGGTATATCTCCTAATGCTGTCCCTCCCCCTTCCCCCCACCCCACAACAGGCCCCAGAGTGTGTGATGTTCCCCTTCCTGTGTCCATGTGTTCTCATTGTTCAATTCCCACCTATGAGTGAGAACATGTGGTGTTTGGTTTTCTGTCCTTGCGATAGTTTGCTGAGAGTGATGGTTTCCAGCTTCATCCATGTTCCTACAAAGGACATGAACTCATCATTTTTTATGGCTGCATAGTATTCCATGGTGTATATGTGCCACATTTTCTTAATCCAGTCTATCATTGTTGGACATTTGGGTTGGTTCCAAGTCTTTGCTATTGTGAATAGTGCCGCAATAAACATACGTGTGCATGTGTCTTTATAGCAGCGTGATTTATAGTCCTTTGGGTATATACCCAGTAATGGGATGGCTGGGTCAAATGGTATTTTTAGTTCTAGATCCTTGAGGAATCGCCACACTGACTTACACAATGGTTGAACTAGTTTACAGTCCCACCAACAGTGTAAAAGTGTTCCTAATTCTCCACATCCTCTCCAGCACCTGTTGTTTCCTGACTTTTTAGTGATCGCCATTCTAACTGGTGTGAGATGGTATCTCATTGTGGTTTTGATTTGCATTTCTCTGATGGCCAGTGATGATGAGCATCTTTTCATGTGTCTTTCGGTTGCATAAATGTCTTCTTTTGAGAAGTGTCTGTTCATATCCTTAGCCCACTTTTTGATGGGATTGTTTGATTTTTTCTTGTAAATTTGTTTGAGTTCATTGTAGATTCTGGATATTAGCCCTTTGTCAGATAAGTAGATTGCAAAAATTTTCTCCCATTCTGTAGCTTGCCTGTTCACTCTGATGGTAGTTTCTTTTGCTGTGCAGAAGCTCTTTAGTTTAATGAGATCCCATTTGTCAATGTTGGCTTTTGTTGCCATTGCTTTTTGTGTTTTAGACATGAAGTCCTTACCCATGCCTATGTCCTGAATGGTATTGCCTAGGTTTTCTTCTACAGTTTTTATGGTTTCAGGTCTAACATTTAAGTCTTTAATCCATCTTGAATTAATTTTTGTACAAGGTGTAAGGAAGGGATCCAGTTTCAGCTTTCTACATATGGCTAGCCAGTTTTCCCAGCACCATTTATTAAATAGGGAATCCTTTCCCCATTGCTTGTTTTTGTCAGGTTTGTCAAAATCAGATGGTTGTAGATATGCAGCATTATTTCTGAGGGCTCTGTTCTGTTCCATTGGTCTATATCTCTGTTTTGGTACCAGTACCATGCTGTTTTGGTTACTGTAGCCTTGTAGTATACTTTGAAGTCAGGTAGCGTGATGCCTCCAGCTTTATTCTTTTGGCTAAGGATTGACTTGGCAATGTGGGCTCTTTTTTGGTTCCATATGAACTTTAAAGTAGTTTTTTCCAATTCTGTGAAGAAAGTCAATTGTAGCTTGATGGGGATGGCATTGAATCTATAAATTACCTTGGGCAGTATGGCTTTTTTGACAATATTGATTCTTCCTACCTATGAGCATGGAATGTTCTTCCATTTGTTTGTATCCTCTTTTATTTCATTGAGCAGTGGTTTGTAGTTCTCCTTGAAGAGATCCTTCACGTCCCTTGTAAGTTGGATCCCTAGGTATTTTATTCTCTTTGAAGCAATTGTGAATGGGAGTTCACTCATGATTTGGCTCTCTGTTTGTCTCTTATTGGTATATAAGAATGCCTGTGATTTTTTCACATTGATTTTGTATCCTGAGACTTTGCTGAAGTTGCCTATCAGCTTAAGGAGATTTTGGGCTGAGACGATGGGGTTTTCTAGATATACAATCATGTCATCTGCAAACAGGGACAATTTGACTTCCTCTTTTCCTAATTGAATACCCTTTATTTCCTTCTCCTGCCTAATTGCCCTGGCCAGAACTTCCAACACTATGTTGGATAGGAGTGGTGAGAGAGGGCATCCCTGTCTTGTGCCAGTTTTCAAAGGGAATGCTTCCAGTTTTTGCTCATTCAGTATGATGTTGGCTGTGGGTTTGTCATAGATAGCTCTTATTATTTTGAGATACATCCCATCAGTACCTAATTTATTGAGAGTTTTTAGCATGAAGCATTGTTGAATTTTGTCAAATGCCTTTTCTGCATCTATTGAGATAATCATATGGTTTTTGTCTTTGGTTCTGTTTATATGCTAGATTACGTTTATAGATTTGTGTATGTTGAACCAGGCTTGCATCCCAGGGATGAAGCCCACTTGATCATGGTGGATAAGCTTTTTGATGTGCTGTTGGATTCAGTTTGCCAGTATTTTATTGAAGACTTTTGCATCAATGTTCCTCAGGGATATTGGTCTAAAATTCTCTTTTTTGGTTGTGTCTCTGCCAGGCTTTGGTATCAGGATGATGCTGGCCTCATAAAATGAGTTAGGGAAGATTCTCTCTTTTTCTATTGATTGGAATAGTTTCAGAAGGAATGGTACCAGCTCCTCCTTGTACCTCTGGTAGAATTCGGCTGTGAATCCATCTGGTCCTGGACTCTTTTTGGTTGGTAAGCTATTAATTATTGCCTCAATTTCAGAGCCTGTTATTGGTCTATTCAGAGATTCAACTTCTTCCTGGTTTAGTCTTGGGAGGGTGTATGTGTCCAGGAATTTATCCATTTCTTCTAGATTTTCTAGTTTATTTGTGTATAGGTGTTTACAGTATTCTCTGATGGTAGTTTGTATTTCTGTGGGATCAGTGGTGATATCCCCATTATCATTTGTTATTGCATCTATTTGATTCTTCTCTCTTTTCTTCTTTATTAGTCTTGCTAGTGGTCTATCAATTTTGTTGATCTTTTCAAAAAACCAGCTCCTGGATTCATTGATTTTTTGAAGGGTTTTTTGTGTCTCTATTTCCTTCAGTTCTGCTCTGATCTTAGTTATTTCTTGCCTTCTGCTAGCTTTTGGATGTGTTTGATCTTGCTTCTCTAGTTCTTTTAATTGTGATGTTAGGGTGTCAATTTTAGATCTTTCCTGCTTTCTCTTGTGGACATTTAGTGCTATAAATTTCCCTCTACACACTGCTTTGAATGTGTCCCAGAGATTCTGGTATGTTGTGTCTTCGTTCTCATTGGTTTCAAAGAACATCTTTATTTCTGCCTTCATTTCGTTACATACCCAGTAGTCATTCAGGAGCAGGTTGTTCAGTTTCCATGTAGTTGAGCAGTTTTGAGTGAGTTTCTTAATCCTGAGTTCTAGTTTGATTGCACCGTGGTCTGAGAGACAGACAGTTTGTTATAATTTCTGTTCGTTTACATTTGCTGAGGAGAGCTTTACTTCCAACTATGTGGTCAATTTTGGAATAAGTGCAGTGTGGTGCTGAGAAGAATGTATATTCTGTTGATTTCGGGTGGAGAGTTCTGTAGATGTCTATTACGTGCGCTTGGTGCAGAGCTGAGTTCAATTCCTGGATATCCTTGTTAACTTTCTGTCTCGTTGATCTGTCTAATGTTGACAGTGGGGTGTTAAAGTCTCCAATTATTATTGTGTGGGAGTCTAAGTCTCTTTGTAGGTCTCTAAGGACTTGCTTTATGAATCTGGGTGCTCCTGTATTGGGTGCATACATATTTAGGATAGTTAGCTCTTCTTGTTGAATTGATCCTTTTACCATTATGTAATGGTCTTCTTTGTCTATTTTGATCTTTGTTGGTTTAAAGTCTGTTTTGTCAGAGACTAGGATTGCAACCCCTGCCTTTTTGTGTTTTCCATTTTCTTGGTAGATCTTCCTCCATCCTTTTATTTTAAGCCTATATGTGTCTCTGCACATGAGATGGGTTTCCTGAATACAGCACACTGATGGGTCTTGACTCTTTATCCAATTTGCCAGTCTGTGTCTTTTAATTGGAGCATTTAGCCCATTTACATTTAAAGTTAATATTGTTATGTGTGAATTTGATCCTGCCATTATGATGTTAGCTGGTTATTTTGCTCATTAGTTGAGGCAGTTTCTTCCTAGCCTGGATGGTCTTTACAATTTGGCATGTTTTTGCAGTGGCTGGTACCGGTTGTTCCTTTCCATGTTTAGTGCTTCCTTCAGGAGCTCTTTTAGGGCAGGCCTGGTGGTGACAAAATCTCTCAGCATTTGCTCATCCGTAAAGGATTTTATTTCTCCTTCAATTATGAAGCTTAGTTTGGCTGGATATGAAATTCTGGGTTGAAAATTCTTTTCTTTAAGAATGTTGAATATTGGCCCCCACTCTCTTCTGGCTTGTAGAGTTTCTGCCGAGAGATCTGCTGTTAGTCTGATGGGCTTCCCTTTGTGGGTAACCTGACCTTTTTCTCTGGCTGCCCTTAACATTTTTTCCTTCATTTCAACTTTGGTGAATCTGACAATTATGTGTCTTGGAGTTGCTCTTCTTGAGGAGTATCTTTGTGGCATTCTCTGTATTTCCTGAAAGTGAATGTTGGCCTGCCTTGCTAGATTGGGGAAGTTCTCCTGGATAATATCCTGCAGAGTTTTTCAAACTTGGTTCCATTCTCCCCATCACTTTCAGGTACACCAGTCAGACGTAGATTTGGTCTTTTCACATAGTCCCATATTTCTCGGAGGCTCTGTTCATTTCTTTTTATTCTTTTTTCTCTAAACTTCTCTTCTCACTTCATTTCATTCATTTCATCTTCCATCACTGATACCCTTTATTCCAGTTGATCAAATTGGCTACTGAGGCTTGTGCATTCATCATGTAGTTCTTGTGCCATGGTTTTCAGCTCCATCAAGTCCTTTAAGGACTTCTCTGCATTGGTTATTCTAGTTAGCCATTTGTCTAATCTTTTTTCAAGGTTTTTAACTTCTTTGCCATGGGTTCAAACTTCCTCCTTTAGCTCGGAGAAGTTTGATCGTCTGAAGCCTTCTTCTCTCAACTCGTCAAAGTCATTCTCCATCCAGCTTCGTTCCTTTGCTGGTGAGGAGCTGTGTTACTTTGGAGGGGGAGAGGCGCTCTGATTTTTAGAATTTTCAGTTTTTCTGCTCTGTTTTTTTGCCATCTTTGTGGTTTTATCTACCTTTGGTCTTTGATGATGGTGACGTACAGATGGGGTTTTGGTGTGGATGTCCTTTCTGTTTGTTAGTTTTCCTTCTAACAGTCAGGACCCTCAGCTGCAGGTCTGTTGGAGTTTGCCAGAGGTCCACTCCAGACGCTGTTTGCCTGGGTATCAGCAGTGGAGGCTGCAGAACAGCGAATATTGGTGAACAGCAAATGTTGCTGCCTGATCGTTCCTCTGGAGGTTTTGTCTCAGAGGAGTACCCGGCCGTGTGAGGTGTCAGTGTGCCCCTACTCGGGGGTGCCTCCCAGTTAGGCTACTCGGGGGCCAGGGACCCACTTGAGGAGGCAGTCTGTCTGTTCTCAGATCTCCAGCTGCGTGCTGGGAGAACCACTTCTCTCTTCAAAGCTGTCACACAGGGACATTTAAGTCTGCAGAGGTTTCTGCTGCCTTTTGTTTGGCTATGCCCTGCCCCCAGAGGTAGAGTCTACAGAGTCAGGCAGGCCTCCTTGAGCTGTGGTGGGCTCCACCCAGTTCGAGCTTCCTTGCTGCTTGGTTTACCTACTCAAGCCTCGGCAATGGCAGGCGCTCCTCCCCCAGCCTCGCTGCCACCTTGCAATTTGATCTCCAACTGCTGTGCTAGCAATGAGCAAGGCTCCGTGGGCATAGGACCCTCCGAGCCAGGTGCGGGATATAATCTCCTCGTGTGCCATTTGCTAAGCCCATTGGAAAAGTGCAGTATTAGGGTGGGAGTGACCCGATTTTCCAGGTGCTGTCCGTCACCCCTTTCTTTGACTAGGAAAGGGAATTCCCTGACCCCTTGTGCTTTCCGGGTGAGGTGATGCCTCGCCCTGCTTCGGCTCATGCACAGTGCACTGCACCCACTGTCCTACACCCACTGTCCGGCCCTCTCCAGTGAGATGAACCCAGTACCTCAGATGGAAATGCAGAAATCACCCGTCTTCTGCGTCACTCACGCCTGGGAGCTGTAGACTGGAGTTGCTCCTATTCAGCCATCTTGGCTCTACCTTCCAAAAATATTTTAAGTTATAAATGCATAGACAGAATAGAATACAAGATACCTGCAGATTAGATATGTCATCAAAGTTTTGGAAATTGTTAAGGAGATGGGCAAGTGTCACTAACTTAGCAAACTGGAGGAAATTAAAACGTGTTTACAAAAAGTTTGGGGTGAGGGTGGGAATACAGAAAACATTTTACTTATACAGCATGCTTAGGAACTGGAGAGCAAGTACCTTTGAAGTTCCAAGGATGATTGGGCTGAAAATGAAAGGTAGTTTGAAAGTTTTTATAAAGAAGAGTAAAAATATCCAATCACAGTGGCTTATGCCTGTAATCCCAGTATTTGGATAGGCCGAAGCAGGAGAATCGCTTGAGGCCAGGAGTTTGAGATCAGCCTGCAGAATATAGCGAGAACCCCATGTCTACAAAAAAAAAAAAAAAATTAAAAATTAGGTGGGTGTGGTGGCATGCACCTGTAGTCCTACCTACTTGGGAGACTAGCAGGAGGATCACATGAGCCCAGGAGTTTGAGGTTACAGTGAACTATGATCATACCACTGCAATGTAGCCTAAGTGACAAAGTGAAACCCTGATTCTGAAAAAAGAAGGAAGAAAGAAGAAGGAAGAGGAGGAAGAAGGAGAAGGAGGAGGAGGAGACTAATTCCCCCTGCCCCCAGCTGGCAATTGTCCCGCCCCCCTTCCAGCTGAAGATTGAACTTTTAACCTCTGGAGAAGCTGAACCAGAGAGATTTTTGTCTGAGGGACAGCAGGTCCAAATAAGAGTAGGAGCAAGAAATCTCAGTGAAAAGAGAATGAGTCAGTAGAACTTATATTGAGCAGTGAGATTCACATCTTCCTCTCCTCCCTGGCTACCCAAATGCTGGCAGCTCTCCTTACCCCCACTCTCAAAAACGCATTTCCCATATCTCAAGCAGGAGGCAAAAGATGCTTCCTGTCTGGGAAAACTGACCTGCAGAAGAGAAAATAACTATACATACTGACTATTGGAGATGCACCAATAAAATGCCAAGTCAACCTTATTAGCCTTCACTGAAATTCTGCCAAACACGAGAACTCCCAATCACGTCCACTTTCCATAATTGGAATGTGCCACTAATGGATATCACACATTCAAGGAAAGCACCTAATATGAAAAAAAGTCCAAACAAACAATTTTTATTATTATTATTATACTTTAAGTTTTAGGGTACATGTGCACAATGTGCAGGTTAGTTGCATATGTATACATGTGCCATACTAGTGTGCTGCACCCATTAACTCATCATTTAGCATTAGGTATATCTCCTAATGCTATCCCTCCCCCCTCCCCCCACCCCACAACAGTCCCCAGAGTGTGATGTCCATCTCGGAGGAAACAGAGGCAATGCAAAAAAGCTTCTAAAAGATATAATTAATATCTTCAAAGACAAAAGAAGATACTGTACCCATGATGTACAAATAATATGTATTTCAAAAGAAGAAACATAATAAAACAGAAATGTTGATTGAAAATACTATGCATGATCTCAAAAATTTTTAAATGTATTTATTAGATGAGATTAGAAGATGAAGTAAAAAGCTTATCAGAGGGTAGAAAAACAAACAAAAATGTAAAACATCCCAGACATGGAGAATTAAGGAAATGCAAGAGAGATTACATCAAGGAAATAATGCAAGAAAAGTTTCAGTATTGAAAGACATGTGTTTCCAAATAAGAGAGTCCAACAAGTGCCAGCACAGAGGATAAAGAATAATTACATTAAAGTACATCATTGTGAAATTTCATTATAACAAAAGAGGTCCTAAAAATTTCCAAAAAGACAAAATTCATCACCCATTTATTCGTTTATTCCACAAATATTTATTGAAGTCCTACTATGAACAGAACTTATTCATAAGATGGCTTAAGATTGCAGATCTGAAGGAAATTTGACAATGAGCTTTATGGGTATAAAGAGATATTAGGCAGCAAGACAGCAAGTGCAAAGTCCCTGAGGTGCAAGTGTTCTTGGCATGTCTGATGTGCAGCTCAGTAGCCAATATGGTCAGAATAGGATGAGTGAGAAGAGTGAGAAGGGGTAAGTTCAGACAACTAAGAGAGACCAAATCCAGCAGCACCTTATGACTTTGAATTTTACTCTAAGTGAGTCAGGTAGTTTTAAAGGTTTTTGAGCAAAGAACTTATAAAATCTGACACATTTTTTAAAAATCTACTCTTTCTGCAGTATTGAGAACAGACTAGGGTAGCAAGAGTCAAAGCAGAGATCTATTAGGAGGCCACTGGGATAATCCACATGAAAAAGCACAGTACCGTGCATCCAATAGAGACTGTAAAGATAGTGAAAAGTAGCTGGATTCTAGAAAGTAAACCTGAAGAAAGTAAACCTGAAGTAAACCTAGAAAGTAAACCTGAAAGTAAACCTAGAAAAGTAAACCTGAAAGTAAACCTAGAAAGCAAACCTGAAAGGAAACCTAGAAAGTAAACCTGAAGAAAATACTTAGAAAGTACTTAGAAAGTAAAGAAAGTAAAGGAAGAAAGGGAAGGAAGGAAAGGAAGGAAGGGAGGAAAAGAAAGAAAGAAAAAAGAAAGAAAGAAAGAAAGAAAGAAAGAAAGAAAGAAAGAAAGAAAGAAAGAAAGAAAGAGAGAGAGAGAGAAAGAAAGAAAGAAAGAAAGAAAGAAAGAAAGAAAGAAAGAAAGAAAGAAAGAAAGAGAAAGAAAGAAAGAAAGAAAGAAAGAAAGAAAGAGAAAGAGAGAGAGAGAAAGAAAGAGAGAGAGGGGGAGGGAGGAAGGGAAGGAGGGCAAGAAGGTAAAGGAAGGAAGGATGGAAGGAAGGAAGGAAAGGAAAAGGAAGAAAGTAAAGAACGTACCTAGAAAGTAAAGAACCTAGAAAGTATCTAGAAAGTTAAGAAAGTACCTAGAAAGTAAACCTGAAAGTAAACCCAGAAAGTAAACCTGAAGAAAATACTTAGAAACAACCTAGAAACTAAAGGAAGTAAAGGAAGAAAGGGAAGGAAGGAAGGAAGGAAGGAAGGAAGGAAGGAAGGAAGGAAGAGAAAGAAAGAAAGAAAGAAAGAAAGAAAGAAAGAAAGAAAGAAAGAAAGAAAGAAAGAAAGAAAGAAAGAAAGAAGCGAACAAGGGAAAGAAGGTAAAGGAAGGAAGGAAGGAAAGAAGGTAAAGGAAGAAAGTAAAGAAAGTACCTAGAAAGTAAAGAACCTAGAAAGTAAAGTATCTAGAAAGTTAAGAAAGTACCTAGAAAGTAAACAGAGAAAGTAAACCTGAAGAAAGTAAACCTGAAGTAAACCTAGAAAGTAAATCTAGAAAAGTAAACCTGAATGTAAACCTAGAAAGCAAACCTGAAAGTAAAGCCAGAAAGTAAACCTGAAACTAAGGTTAGAAAGTAAACCTGAAGAAAGTACTCTAGAAAGTAAATTAGCTACTTCTTAGAAGTAGCTGGATTCTAGAAAGCAAATCCTGAAGTAGCTGGATTCTTGAAAGTAAACCTGATAGTATTTGTGTATGGTTTAGATGTAGAGTATGAGAGAAAAAGAATAATCAAGAATGACTCTAAGCTTTTTCGCCTGAACAACTAATAGAACTATCATTTACAATGTAGAAAACTGTGGGTAGAGAAGATCTTGAATAACATTTTTGAAAAATGTTAATTTAGAGATATCTCTATTTGACATCATTTGGAGATGTCCAAAAGAGATTGGATAATACAAGTTTAGATTTCAGGGAAAGGACTGGGCTGTATATGTCACTTGGAGAGTGGTATTAGTTAGAGTAATGATGGCTGCTGTAAGAGATAAATCCCAAATTCTCAGTGGCTTCACAAAATAGAACATTATTTCTCACTCAAGAAATCAAAACAAATGTATATTCCTAGTTGGTGGGTGGCCTTCCTTGTGGTTATTCAATGGCCCAGGCTTCTTCCATTTGTGGCTCTGCTCTCTGTCTCAGAGTCCTCTGCATTCAGTCATAAGGTAGGGGAAAGAGATGGATAATCATATGAGAGAAGTTTTTTATAGGCCAGATCAAGAAAAGATGCAAACCACTTCCATTTGAATAGCCACATCTCATTGCAAGAAAGACTGAGATAGGTGGTCTAGCCATGTGCTTAGGAAAAGAGGACATGGGTTTAGTGAACAACTTTCTGGTCTCTGCTACAGACAACCCTCCTGATAGGCAAACACCTGTTTCACTTCCTCCTATATATAAAACACACAGACACACCTTGTCCCAGAGAGATGCCACCTCAAGTCCCATCCAGCAGTTTCAAGCCGGATTCCCTGGATCCAGCTCAAATCCAGATACTTCCGGTGTGTGTTACCCTCACCCTTGGATCTGGATGTGGCTCCTCAAAATTTATCCATCTACAAACCCCCCCCCCCCAAAAAAAAAAACTTAACTGGCCTTCCCCTCACCCACAGTCAATATTTACTAGAAGAATAGGGAACAAGATAACCCCAATTAAACCTCTCAGTCAAAAGGGGGAAAAATAGAAGAAATGTTGCATTCACTGAGATACTGCTGGCTGAGCACAATGAACACTCCTTCCCTGGAGGTAAGTAAATTCCTTCATCACACTCTGATTATGCTCTCCGGGAAGAACTCTCTTGTCCATTATTCTCTGTAGCAACACCCAGTGTGGCTGCTGTGGAGTAAACTCTTCTTTGTAGCTACTCGACTTTTTCAGCACACTTCCTGCTGATGCAATTTTGAGATCCCAAGTGTTAAGGCTTGAATAATCACAGGCTTTTTAGTCTAGGCTTACAGTTCCTTGACAGTACAACTTCCTCATATCTTAGTAGACTACAAGTCTATATACTCGCTGTCAGTGCCCTTGTCAGTTACTAACAACAAGTTCTTTCCTGAATGTAATTCTCAAGCTGATGCTAACCTATAACTTGGCTTCATTGCCCCGTGCTTCTCACTCTTAAGCAAACAAAAACCAACTTCAAACTGCTACCAGCAGCAAATCCATATAAGTCTGCAGCAACTCCATTTTTGCCTCCTCAGAGGAAAGAATTCGGCTAAGGGGCATTAGACAGAGTGAGAGACTAAGGCAAGTTGTAGAACAGGAACAAAAGGAAGTAAAGTACACTTGGAACAGGGGCAAGTGGGCAACTTGAGAGATACAAGTGCACTGTTTGGCCCTTGGTTTAGGGTTTTATACATTGGCATGGTTCTGGGGCTTCTGTTTCTCCTCCCTTGATTTTTCCCTTGGGGTAGCGTGTCCACATGCACAGTGACCTGCCAGCACTTGGGAGGGGCCACATGCACAGTGTGTTTACTGAAGTTGTGTGCATGCTCATTTGAAGCATTTTTCCCTTACCAGTGGTCTTGGAGGAAGGCCATATGCCAGTTAAACTCTGCCATCTTCCCTCCTAGTGCACATGCTTGAGTCCACTTGCCCAACTCCAGAGATCTTATTCGGAAGCTGCAGATCACCAGCTTCAGGTATTTTCTATCTATTAAGAGCCTGCCCTTTCCTGGTGCCAGGTATGGCCAATTAGAGACAGTTTAACAACAACTTAACTATCCCCTGATGGTCGCCTGACATTCCTGGGGTATAGTGGGGCTTCTCCTGTCCTGTTCATGTCTCCCTAGCTACCCACTCTAACAAAAGCAGCTGGGATAATAGGCTTGGGGAGGAAAGTTGTATTCTTAATCTAATCTTTGCATCGGGGCTCAATCATAATGGGTCTGTGCCCCTCAAAGCCTTGTTTAGTCTTATCTCTTACCTTTTCGAATTTAGAAACAGTTGGTTCTTCTAGTTGAATTTCTGTATTCTTTCTATGTCTTTCATTCTGCTTATATACCACCTGATTCTTCTGATTCTTTCTGAAGCTCATCTTTTTCCTTTAGTACCTTGCCAAAAGTAGCCAATAGCAACCAACATACACTGCTATACTTTTACTTTCTAACTCCTTCCCTATCTGTACAAGTTTACTAGCAACAAGTTTGCCTCCCAAGTTACGTTTTAACCCCCCATACCTCTCTGCCTTTTCATCCTACTGTTCTCACTAGCTACTCCCTTCCAGAAGCAGTGATCTCTGGTGTTCATTAAATAAACATGGGTTGCTCAAAAAAAAAACAGGAATAAAAGAAAATGTTTTAACCAGATATTTTCAACTTCATTACACAGAAATCATCATTTCTGCCTCTGACATAAGCTTCCTTGCTTCTTGACACCCAACCAATAAGGAGTGTCACATATTTTAGATTTCTATTACAACAATAACCACTGCAAATACAAATTTCTGTCTTGGTTAAGGCCACATTCCCAAATCACAGTGGCCCCATCACAAAGTCCAAACTAATATTCCCGATTGGTGGGTAACCTTTCACCTGATTATTCAGGGATCCATGCTTCTCCCATTTGTGACTCCATCCTTGGAGTCCTCTGCATCCATCCAGCAGATGGGAGAAAAGGATTGAAGAGTAGGGGTAGGAGATATTTATGGCTAGGCCTGGAATGGCAGATGTCACTTCTCACATTTCTTTGCCTAGAATTAAGTCAAATGGCTAAATGCAGTGAAGGCTAGGAAATGCAGTCTGGTTGTGATTCCTGGACAAAGAGAAACTAGTCCGCTGAGCAACTATCTAATCTCTGACATAGGAATGACAGCATGAAAAATGGATATTTAAAACCAGAAGACCTGATAAGGTCATGAAAGATAGAGTACAGATAAAGAAGGCATCTGAGGACTAAGCTCTGGGCCGCTCCAAAATCTAAAGGTCAGGAATATAAAGAGAAAAGTTCAAATCAGAAAAAAGAGACAAAGATGAATTAGGAGGAAAATGAAGCATGTATGAACTCTCAGAAGCAAAATGAGGACAGTGTTTCAAGGGAAATACAGATCAACATTTGCCAAATGCTGTTGATAGGTCAGATGAGATGAAGAATGAGAACGGAGCATTGAATTTGACAGCACAGAAGTCACCACTGCTGTTGCCAAAGCAGTTTCCCAAGTGTGAGGAAGATGAAAGCCTGGGTGAGGAGAGATTGGAGACAGTGAGCATGGCTAATTCTTTTGGAGAATTTTGTGGTAAAGGAGAAGACACAATAGCTGGATTAGGAAATGTGGTCAAGTGAGGGTATGTTTTTGTTGTTGCTTATTAGTTTTGTTTGTTGTTTTATTAAGATAGAAACTATTACAGTATTTTTAAATGTTGATGGGAATGACTGATGAGAAAGAGGGAACATTATGGTGTGTAAAAGAGAAGGGACAGTTGTTTGCGTGACATTCTGCGGAAGTTAAGGTCATGAGACCTAGTGCATAAGAATAGGAGCTGTTCTTACACAGGAACAGAGACCATTTGCAGAAGCAGAAGGGAAAGTAGAGTATGTGATACAGGGACTTCTGGTTTCTGATCCAGCATATAAGGAGCTTGGAAGTCATCACTCTTGTTATACAACAAGATAAAAGCTGAATAAACTGGAAATTAACAATTCTTTTTAGATCTTTCAGAGAACTGAGGTCACAGGGCAAACTGCTATCCCCAAAATTAAAGACACAGACAGGCAGATACAGAGAATCACAGCTTACTGGAGCAGGCAGTAGCAGAAACCACCAGTGGAGCCAGTAAAATGGTAGGAAAACTTAAACAGTAATTGATGAAATGTGGGAACCTAAGCATGAACAAGCTTGAAAGTTAACTCCAAAGGGGTCTCTTCTTAAGGAGCCCCCACCCATTCATTCTTGTGGTTTACCTCCAGGAGCCCTATCAGGTTTTCAAAGTGAAGATCAGAGAAAAATCCCCTTTACTTCTGGCAATGAGAGGGAAAAAGTAATTATTCTGAAATAGGCTAAAAACATTCTGTTCTCCTTAATAAGGATTTCTCTCAAGGAAAACATTTTACCAGAGCCTAAATGACCTGAGAGAATGGAAATACCCAACTCACCATCCCCCCAATCTTTCCTGTATCTCTTAAGGGGGAGAAAAGGCTGAAAAGCACTTGTGAAAGTCACAGCCTATGGGCACAGGCTCACTGAAGGACTGAGACCTATTCATAGTACTATAGAACAACTCTCCCCTGACCCCTGCACTACTTTTTACATCAATAAGGCACCTGGATAATAACAGGGAAATACAACTGAAAGAACTGCACATCTCAGACCTTATTTAAGAGTAAGTTTCTATGGAAACCCAAAGGCACAAGAAAGAAAAAAACAAGGACACCAGAAGACACTTTGCCTATGACTCCTATAGCTATAGCCCACAGTAAATACACCCTAACTTCTATCCAGATAAACAAAATTTCACATTAAATTCTGATTTACCTCAGTTTATTTTACTCAGTGTATCATGTCCATATTTCAACCAAAAATTACAAGGCATACTAAAAGACAAAAACACAGTCTGAAGAGACAGAACCAAACTCAGACATTGCAGAGATTTTGGAATTATCACATTGGCAATTTAAAAACAACTGTGATTAATATGCTAATGGCTATAATGAAAAAAGCGGACAATGTGCAAGAACAGATAAATAATTTAAACAGAGATTTAAACTCTAAGAAAGAATCAAAAGAAAATGCTAGAAATTAAAACCACTGTCACAGAAACGAAGAGTGCCTTGGATAGGCCATCAATGGACTAAACAGAATCAGTAAGCTTGAAAATGTCAATAGAAACTTTCAAAACTGAAAAGCAAGAGAAAAAAAGAATGAAAAAGATGGAATGGAATGCCAAGAACTGTGAGACAATTACAAAAATAATAACACATGCATAGTGTGAATATCATAAAAAAAGGAATATATGCAGAGTTTAGTCAAAGTGATAGAGTGATGGAGTAAAGCCACTTTTAAAAATTTCTTCCATTTTTTTCTCAGGGATATAGGAAGCGAGGTCATCGCTGAGAATAAGGACAGAAGAGGAGGTTTACAGATCTGAGGGGAGAATAGAGGAAATAGCGAGGGAAGGAGATGGGGAGAGAGAGAGAGAAAGAGAGAGGAAGGGAGTGGGGTGTATGGGGAGTTGTTCAGAGCTGTCTTGGAGAATATATGTCACACCAAAATAATCCAAGATCAGAATGGCATTAGCGTTCACAAAAGAAACACTGCAATGCTTTAGAATTCTTTGAAGAAGTTATTTACAGCATAGAATTTTGTATCCAGCCAAATTATCAATCCACCATAAATATGTAAAATATCTCTGATGAACTCCTTTTCAGAAACTTTCCGGAAAATGTGCTCCAACAAAATGAAAAAGTAGTACAAGAAAGAGAAAAACACAAGATCCAGGGAAGGGGGTCTAGAACAAGGCCCTGATGGGAGAGAAAACACACGGTCATTCTGGGGACCTGTACAGAGTTGCACAGCTTTAAGGGGAGTTGGGAGAATGGCAAGAGATGAGGCTGGAGACCAGGGCAGGTGCCAAATTTTGAAGTGTTTCCTATGTCAAGCAAAAGAAATTGGATTTTTCCCTAAGACCAAAAGGGCACCACTGAAGGGTTTCAGCCAGAGGAAGCTCCTGATTAGATCTGTATTTCAGAGCTTTCACTGTGGCTACAGCGTGAAGAGTGAATCAGAGGCATAAAATTGTGCAGATAGGAGCAGTTTTGAGGCTGTTATGTGGACAAGGCATCTGAACTAAGAATGTTAGTAAGGAAGAAATGCAGGAAATTGGTTTGAGTGGTGATAAGAAATAATAATCAATTTTAAATCTCTATCTAAATAAAAAATCAATAGCTGGCATTGTTTTCTGAGTGGTTACCATGTGCTGGGCCCAGTTTCAAGTGTCTTCTGGGCATTAACGTGGTTGTCAATCACAGCAACTATATGAGAGCAGATGAGGACACTGAAGTGCATGGTAAATGGAAAAGCTGGAATCAGTCTGAAGCATTTGATCCAGAGTGCATGTGCATAACCACTTCCCAAATGACCATAGTTTCAACTAAAAATGTGTCTGGAAATGCAAAGGTCCAGGCCAGAATCCCAGTGTTGCCACAGAGACTCTGTGCCCAACGAAGCCCTGATTAGTCAGTAATCCCAACCCACTTTCTCTTGGGTCAAATTAACTGCAGCACACAGCAATTAGATGATGAGACAAAGGAAAAACAGGAGGTGGCAAAGAGGGGAAAGAAGACTGATCATGATGAGATGTGGAGAAGGCCAAAGGTGTGGTCAAACAGGTGGAGAGATCCCACTGGAATTAAATCCTGCTCCAAACCTGATATAGGAGAAAAGTTAGCTACATGGGAAGATGGTCTCAATGTGTTGTCAAGTAAAAATACATAGTTTACAAGGCAGGAGGTGAGCCTAATATCATTTTTGTAAGAGAGAAAAAGGTGGGGAGCACTAATAGTGATTATCTCTGCAACAGGAATAGATATATATATATATATATATTTTTTTTTTTTTTCTTGAAATGGTGTCTCACACTGTTGTCTGGGCTGGAGTGTAATGGCGCAATCTCAGCTCACTGCAACCTCTGCCTCCCAGGTTCATGTGATTCTCCTGCCTCAGTCTCCCGAGTAACTGGGATTACAGGCACACACCACCACACATGGCTAATTTTTTGTATTTTTAGTAGAGACAGGGTTTCATTATGTTGGCCAGACTGGTCTCGAACTCCTGACCTCGTGATCCGCCCATCTCAGCCTCCCAAAGTGCTGGGATTACAGGCATGAGCCACCACGCCCAGCTTGGGAATACATTTTTTAAATGTGCCTTCCTTTTGTTTATTCTTTCTATAAAAGAATGTGACATTTTGGGCCAGCAAATTTCCAAAACCCTCTTCACTAAAAAATATGCATTTTTCATCTCCTTCAGAAGGTCATGTTTCTCCCAAGTACCAATTAGTTTATTAACAACTATGCTCAACCTGGGTGTCCTCTTGTCCTCTCTCAAATGTAAATTTCAGCAACCCAATCTCTGAATAGTTTCTACAGTGATGCTTTGAGACAACTTATGGAGCTAGCATTTAGGGGTTATGTCTGTCTTAGAAACTGCCTTGAAAGAAAGAAGGAGATGGAAAGAAGACAGACACAAATTAAGGGGCAACACCACAACACAAAATATATTGAAGTATAATATTTATCCTAATTTTTAAAATAATACTAAAAAGCAACATTTGGCTCAGAATTTTGTTCCTACTACTAAGTCCAAAAGCCCATGAGTGCACATTTAGTGTATTCCCCTGCCTTCAAGAATAACTGTAACTGTTCAACCTCAGACCAAAAAGAACTTGATATACAGCAGGTAACCAACTGCCCTGCTCTGGAGGTAGGGAGTTCATGGTCATATTCTCTCTTCTGTCATTAAGCATACACATCGGGCACATTATCATCAAATTGTATTCTTCTTCTTCTTCTTTTTCTTCTTCTTCTTCTTTGTCTTCTTCTCCTTCTCCTTTTCTTCTTCTTCTTCTTCTCCTCCTCCTCCTCTTCTTCTTCTCCTCCTCCTCTTCTTCTTCTTTTCTTCATCTTCATCTTCTTCTTCTTTTCTTCATCTTCATCTTCTTCTTCTTAAACATTGTCATCATAATCATCATGGCTAACACCTAGCATGTACCATATATCAGGGACTTTGTTGACATTAACTCATTTAATCTTCAAAAGAATCCTATGAGATCAGTACTATTATTTCCTTATTACAGATACAACAATTAATGCACAGAAATGAATCAACTTATCTAAAAACATGTTGCTGGTAAGTGTCAGAGCCAGTATTTAGACTCAGGAAGTCTGGTTCAGAGTCCAGGCTCTTAGCCATCACACTATAAGAACAGGTATAATAAACATCTACCCACCTATAGAATGTAAATTCCATCTTTTATGCAAAGATTTCTTCATCATAATGATAATTCAAACTCAAGGATAGCATTAAACCTCACTACCACCATTTAGGCTTAAAAGACAAGAGTGCATCTCCCATTCTAACTAGTCAGAAGTGATTCCAAATTTATGAAACTTGGAGATGGAGGCAATGCAAGGGAAATTACATTTAGCAACAGAATAGTTATTTGTATAAGCAGGCTTCAAAGTATTTTGGACAAACCATAACTTTTGCTGAAGTTGACAATAAAATAATTTGGAAAAGAATGTATGGTCCTCATGCACTAACAACAATTGCATAGGTGTTATTTTTAATTCATTTTTCCAGCTGCCTTATTGTAAAAGACTCTGAGCCAGTGAAAAAAGCTGTTTACTGCCTTTTGTTGTTCTTTCTGCATATGATAAGAGAATAGTATCTAGCTCCCAACAGTGCCCAAAAGGAAGAAGAAAGCAAGGAATTTCTGTAATGAAGTGTAAGAAGCTAACTCCTTCTTCCACAAACCTGTGTTTCTTTAGGTTATTTTCCTGGCTGCTAGTTTCCCAAAGATGGAGAGTCAACTTTTGTCTGGGCCTCAATAATTTGGTATTTGAACATGTTTGTTGTATGATGCCTTATTGGAGTCATCTTACTACCATCTATTCCATACACCAGGTCTATTCTGAGGTATAGTAACCCAGGAAAACAGAGTTTCTACTAGAAACACATTACAAAATCCAGTTGTGCTGTCACATATTATCTTCTCTGCATTACAACCAATGTTTTAGATAATTACTAAGTTATATGTAAATTCAGATCTGTCCAACACTTGAGTGAATGACATATAGATTCCAAAGCTGTTAAGAAGAGCAAATGTAAAGGCTCTGTGAAGATTATGCTTGAGGGAGTATTATTATCAACCTTCAAATGGAAGAAATGTAGTTTTATTTACTAGCATCACCTTTCCCAGACCTCAACAAAGTTTTCTTGACGTCTCTAATGTGACCAAAGAGCTGTTCAGTGTCGCTGAGGAGATGTGCAAGGTGGACAGAGGAGAGGGCACCACTGGAGCAACTGCCGTGAAAGAAACACCACAGTGGTAGCAATGACATATTTTTGTGTCCTAAATTAACAGCAAACTAACTCTAGAGGAGATGCAGTAGCCTCGAATTGAGACTAGGAGATGAACAGTTCAAATGTTACAATGGTACAATCCTCAAATGTCATAATATCCCAACAAGAAAAGAAGAGAAAAAACAAATTTGCACCTCCAAGCATGTAATTTTCTCTACTCAAAATACAAACATGACCTTATTAATCCAAATCGAACCAACAACTTGTGACATTTTTCTCATTTGGAAGATTAATATTCAAGCAAGCAACTTAATTTCTAACCCCGAGTTCAAAAATTTATGAATTCACCCTTGCAGGGTTCAACAACCCTGGGTCCTCTCAGGCCGGAAACACAATGCAGGATAGTTTTGGATTCATGAGTCACCTTACCACATTATAAACTCTCCAAGAATGGTTGGTCAAACCTAACTTCCACCAGATTCACACCCAGATACCAAGGTGCATAAACTTGGGAACTATCCAACATGCAAGTACCGATCCAGTTCTCCATCTTTTATTTGTCTTATTCTACATAATATGAATATCTCGTTCATATAAACACTTGGTTCCTACTATGTGTTGAATGCTACATGATCTCTGGAAATATCCAGATAAATGTTGTCTTTATTCAGTCACATATTCTCATTAGGTCTTCCTGGCATGCATTTGAGATTATAAAGACAAAGTTCATAAACCCAGTTAAATCTCAATTCTATAATGCTGAACTCACTAATTGAGTGCCCTAGCTCAAGAAAATAACTGGTCATAGACCATACTAATTACACCATCGTTGGTACAGCAATCTTCATAAATATCAAGAAAATGATACACAGTTAACTTTTAATTATCCACACTAATGAAGGGGAACAGTGGCATGGTTAATCCAAAATAGTTTACAAACCAATAATAATTTCTATTAGGATTTGGAATTCATTATGTGATTTTCTTCCCAGAAGATTTACCTTCTGATTATATTTTTCATGATGAATATTCAAGCAAGAAACTTAATTTGTATCTAGGGTTTTAAAATTTATAAACTTCTGCCTCCATCCCAGGCTTGAAGAACTGAAATGTAATGTCTTTTACTAAAGTTGTTGATATTACCATAACTTTGTATAATCCCATCCTGAACTTTCCATGGATGATGAATTATAATTAAGTCCTAATGCCAAGCTTTCCCAGGAAAGAAAGGCATAAGGATTCAGCTCACAATTTCTAAGCTCTTCCTCTCTCATCCTTTTAACTCATCCTATTTAACTAGGCATTACTCATCCATGAGTATCTGTATTAATTAGCTGTTCCTGTAATAACACTGAGTAACAAACTACCTTGAAACCCAATGACTTTAAAAAACAAGCATTCATTTCTTCCTCACAGATCTTCAAATTGGCAGAACCCAGATCAAACTCATGATTTGGCTCAAACCTCCTCCAGGTGTGTCCCTATTTGCCTTAGACCAGTGGCCCCAGTGAAACACAGGAGCATAAGAAGACAAGATGACAAGAAAAGCAAATTATGCACATTTAAGGCCTCTGCTTACATCATGTCTGCTCACATTCCAGTGGCTAGGGAAGTCACATTGCCAAGCTCAAAGTCAAGAGGGCACAAGAAGTATACTCCATATCAAGGAGGAAAAAATGAAGATAAATTTTTACTGAAAACAATCTAATCTATCATTTAATATTCATTAGGCTGTCTGGTAGATTTTGGAAATACTAGGATTATTAAGTCATAATTTCTGTCCTCAAGGAACTCATATTTGGGGTGGGCAGATGGTACTAAAAAGATAATGCTAAAAAACACTAAATAAGGAGACACCCAGGATATTATGTGAGTAGGAAGTGGCAAATCAGAGAATCTAATATAATAATTCTTGAGCTTAGGGAATCATCAAAGGCTTTACATTTGAGTGTCTGAGGTGGTCCTTGAAGATAAATATGAGTTTCCAGGGAAAAAATATAAGCAAAGATGCAGAAGTATGGGAGTAAATGGTCTCTTCAATAAATGACAGGGCATACAGTGTGACTAAAGCCTAGTATATGTGACAATGGCTGAGAACACATTTTACTCCACAGTTCTTTGAGTAAGTCAACCCTGGTTTAAAAGAGTAATATTTGGATGATGGAGAAAATATTCTAATATTATTGAGTGCACCTAAGGTTACATACCTTTGGGTTTATTTATCCCAGAACCATTATAAGCAAGGAAGTTGCTATTAATTTGCATTCGCAGAGATGCAGAAATAAGGACTCACCAAGGTGAAGTGACTTGTCCAAGGTCATATGACTAGTAAATGAGGCTTGAAATACAGTTCCAGCTCTGGTCTTCTCCGCTAGGCTCTATTGGAAGTATCCTGGGAGTTCTGGCTACTTCGTTAGTCCTATGAGCTAAGTTCAGGCTATAAAAAGTATAGCCTTCTAGGCTATACTAACAAGTTCAGAATTTATGAATGGCATTGAGGTAGGTTCCAAATAGGGGAACAAGAGACATCACCGGAACTTGACTTTGAAAAGACATCCAGTGGCAGAGTGGACAGGAGATTGGAGAGATGGAGAGGTACTAGAGGCAGGTAAGGGGTTATGGCAATAGTTGGGTATACAATCAGGCCTTGAACCAGGACAGCACCAGAAGTAAGGAAGGAAAGAAAGTTGACTTGCGAAACATTTTGGATGTGCAATCAGAAAACAATTTGATTAAAAAAAAAAAAAAGATGAGAAGAAGAAGGAGTCTTGAATTCCTCTGTTTTCCAAGCTTATGCAGCTACTTAAAAGGTTAAGCCATTTCCTCTTTTTGCTTTCCAGACCACTCTACACTACAGTTTCTCCTTTCCATATCTCCCCCAGAGACAATGAATTCTGCCTCCTAGCCTAATTGAAAGCCAGAGGGCAGCAGAACAGAAGAGTGGTTGAGGCAAAGGAAGAGTCATTTGATGAGAAAAGATTGATATATTCCTTTCCATAATCAGTGGAACACAGGTGAATAGATTTAGCAGGTTCTTTATCGAGTGCCTTTAATCACCTAACTCAAATCAATACTCCTTCAGGGGAACATAAATTAATTCTCCAAACAAACAGCTAATGCCTAAGGAGAGCTGTCTGTAGTGTTTACACACTCCAGCTCCACTGTTGGAGATGAAAGAAAGGCAAGTATGAACCCAGAGGCAGAATCTTCACTTGGAAATGCACAGGGTCAGGAGCAAAGGCTCCTAAGTATACTGACACTTCCTGTATTTTTTCAACATCATCTGAATTGACACTAGTGGACAGTTACCTACAGATGATACAGCCCCCTGCTGGTCACAAGCACTAGGGGCTAGGGAGGAGGGCTCTGCAGTTTTTCTATTCTGAGCCCTTCTCATCTTTCCATATACACCATTAAAAGTATTGAGAGAGGTTCCCAGGATGGCAGAGTTAGCTCCCAGAAATTCCAGGATACTTCCAATAGAGTCTAGTGGAAAAGGCCAGAGCTGGAACTGTATTTCAAGCCTCATTTACTAGTCTTGTGACTTTGAGCAAGTCACTTTCCCTTGGTGGGTCCCCATTTCTACATCTGTGCAAATGAAAATTAATAGCTACTTCCCTGCTTATAATGGTTCTGGCATAGATAACCTCAAAGGTCTGCAACCTAAGGTGCACTCAATAATATTAGAATATTTTCTCCCTTTATCCCTGCTAAACCAGGGCTGATTTACTCAAAAAACTGTCAAATAAAATTGCTCACAACACTTTCCCAAGTGGAAAGTCTGCAGAAACAATATGTGGCTTGTGCAGTAAGAACTAGCATAATACCTACTTCCTGTCTTCAATCTTCCTCCTGCTATTTGCTCTGACTGGAAGAGCCAGACCAAAATTCCGAACATTAGCCATCCATGCTGAGAGCAAGGCCAAGGGTTAACACAGCCCTTTTTAAATGATCCCAGTTGTTGTTCTAAACAATGGTAGCTATTGTCAGTATTATTAATAAATACTATTCGACCAAACTGGTGTGTATGTGTCTTGCTTAAACGTGAGGTGAAGAGGTCAAAGCATGAAGGATGAGACTACATTTCTCTTTTCAGAATGACCTCAGGGCAATTTCTAAGAGATTCAACCAACAAAGGAAACAGACGTACAGCTTCTTCTTGCTTCTGGCCCCTTTCTCCAGGTTGGACATCATTTCTGCAGCCTATAATCCTCCCACACTTGGAGAATTAATATGCAAATTTCCTAATTATATGGCCAAGAATTTTACAGGTCTCGCCTGGAGTGATAAATTAGTTCCCAGGTCTCTGCCTTCCTCAATAGGGGGTCTGGTAACCTCAACTTCAGGATAGTCATAGAAACCATTAGTGTCACTAAATTAACCAGCCCTCAGAATTAGCCAAGAGAAAGTGTATATTGATCTGACTTAGCGATGTGAGAAGAGAAGCGATTTCTTTTATGATTAGCCTTTTCAAAGTCCTCTTAGGCTACTCATACTCTCTGCTGATGGAAAGATTACTGAAAAATAATTTAAAATGTCCCCAGAACCACAAAGTCTTTGTGCCATTATTTCCCCTAAAATAATAAAATTACTTATACATTCAACTGTAAGCGTCCTTTAGAGTTACTCGTGGCAAAGATACCTATATGAATATAGAAATGTAAAATAATAGTTTCTATGTCTTAGGAAATTCACTATTTAATAGACAAAAATTATGATTATTATCATTTTTACATTGTGCTAAAGTTAATAAAATGTTTTTTATATACAGTATTTTATTAAAATGTTCACAACTATGAGAGATGGGTAGTACCTTTATACCCAATTTACAGGTATGTATACTAAGACAAAGAGAATGAAGCAGGGCATGTTGGCTCCTGCCTGTAATCCCAGCACTTTGGGAGGCTGAGGTGGGCAGATCGCTTGAGCCCAGCAGTTCGACACCAGCCTGGGCAATATGGCAAAACCCAGTCTCCACCAAAACTACAAAAAATTAGCAGGGGTGGTGGCGCATGCCTGTAATCCCAGCTACTCGGGAGGATCACTCGAGCCTGGGAGGTAGAGGTTGCAGTGAGCCGAGATGGCACCACTGCACTCCAGCCTGGAAGACAGACTGAGACTGCGCTCTCAAAAACAAAAGAAAAGGTAACTAAAACAATTTACTCACCTTACACCTTAGAGACGCCTTACACACACATGCACATACACACACGCAACCAGTGTATAGTGTCTTTAATATCTGATAAATTCACAGAGCCTCAGTATCCTCATCCAAAAATGGGAGCATTAAAACCCATCTCAAATGAAATGAGCTCCTGTCTATCAGCACTTGCCAGGGCCTGTCATAAGGATGCATTCTTTAAGTGACAGCTGAACACTCAAGCAGCATTACTCACCTAGAAAGGGGCCTCATAGAAAAGATGCAATTTTTCTTTCCAATGAAGTTATTGATTCCCTTTAAGGAGACTCTCAGCAGGATAAATGACCCTTCATTATTTCCCTGGCATACTCCTGGCACTTCGGGGGTTTCAAACAAATTTGACTTACCACATCTGTGAGACCCAAAGGTCAAGAGACATTGCTTCATAATGGCAGAAAATTATCATATTGATAAAAATTGACCATTGTTCACATACTGAATTCCTCCAAAGAGGAGCATTCTGGAGCATTTTGGAATAGAGAAGGCAGGGCTGATTAGGATCAACCATCTTTATGCAGAAGGGCCTTGAGTGCATACCAAGCCATCTGCAGTCAGAGAATAAACCACAGTGGAACGAAGCAACTTATTTTCTGTCTCTAGTCATCGATTCCTGACACGAATTCTGAAAGCTTGCCTTAAAATCCATATTTAGTTATTTCGCTTTTCTTTTAAGATACATTGGTAGCTCCCCAATTCCCATAACCTAAAATCTGCCCTTACTTACCTGCCCGCATCCTCGTCTCTTGCCAATCTCCCCCTACATCCCCACCTATACTCCTGCCCCACCAAATCTCACTGTCAACCCATCACATCCCTTTTGGACTCAAGACATTTTATACATCACTTTTTTGAAACAACTATTTTACTGTGAGCCATCTTGACTACATCTCGACAGATTTTGGTATCCCATTTCCGTCCCCACTTTACTTTCCACAAGATGATTCTAGTTTTTCCTCATCTTCTAACCATGTCAAATCAACAACCAAACCAGAAAAAGATTTTTTAGTGATCAATTTTTCCATGCCCTGGTTTAGGTCATAACCAATTTCCCATCAATTCTGACATCAATGGGGCTTGCTATTCCACTTTACCAGGACAGCAAGTTCTGCATTTGAGAATGCCTGCAGTGTTTGAGATGCCTCATTCAAATCATCCTTCTACTTCACTTCACTTTGAAAACAGCGTAAGAATCAAGAGAAGCTAAGCATGAACTGAGAATCCTGATCAAGACGAAAAGAATGATCCGACTGGTTGGTTTCACCATCATAAGGAGGGATTCCTCTGGCTATGTGTTGCATTCATTTCTTGGCACATCGAGAGGCAACCTAGGACACTATTAATAACATGAGCTCAAGGGACAAACTGCCTGGGTGTGAGTTGTGGCTCTGCCACTTATGAGATGTGTGACCTGCGGCACATTTTTTCACTTCTTTGTGTCTGTTTCCTCCTTTGTAAAATGAAGGTAATAATAATACCTAACTCATAAAGCTGTTGAGAGGATGAGTCAATACTTATGAATGCACACACATACACAGAAAAGGAACTGCCACATATAAACACTAAATAAATGTTTGTTAAATAAAATAAATACAATATTGTATGGTTATATTGCTGATAGCAGAAAATGCCCCACAACAGCTCTCAAAATCTGAAACTTTGGCGGTTAATTTGTTAGGGTAACAAAGTAGGTATCATCTACTATTCCAATTTCTTCGTTGTACCAGAAATGGAAAGAAGTACCACTAACCTTTGCCAAATATTACTGACAAGGTCAGAAATATTTTTCTCAGGGAGAAAAATTGCAAAAAGGCTGACAATTATAAAGTGTCAAAACACTGGCATCAAAATATCCTGCTTTATCCAGTTACACACCATTTCCCAGAGAGCAAGTTTGAACCAAGAAACATTAGCATCACCATGGACCACCTTTGATAACTGGGGCTTAAATGCCTCTTTCATCATAAATGATCTCTTATTTATAAAGGAATCACTAACCACTATCAACAATAAAAAACCACACAGAAAAACCACAAGACTGTATCATAGAGAATTTTAAAATAGTTATCCATGAGAATAAAAGAAAGGAGGCTAACAAAGTCTGCTACTTCCTAAACTTACACTGAGACATGCAAGAGGCAAAGGGCTTCTAGTTCTGGCCAAGACTTGCTGGACATAAGAGGGAGGATAAACTGACCACTTGCCTGGAATGATACAGGGGAAGAGAATGCACAGGCTTCCTCATTTGAAACCCATTGATCTAACACCTATTGTCTATGAGAAGTTGGATAATATATTTGCTTTATCTGAGTCTCAGTTTTATCAACAGTAAAATGGAGATAAGGCCTTACTGAGCTGGATTTGTTGGCATTTGACTGCAGGGCCTTTACATGATGCCTGGAACACAGAAGACACCCAATTCTCTACTCCCCCTTCCTATACAACATAAGTAATAAATCATTTCCCAAATCTGTGGAGGGAAATTACATCAGTTATGTGGTGGTTATCATCAAATAGAAATTACATATATTCAATGTCTTTCCTATGCTGCATGCGTCCTCAACTTTTTCCCAACACATACGAGTAAAGGTTCTTATGGCAAATGACAGAAACTGATTTTTAAGCACTGGGGAATTTATCGGAAGAGTTTCAGGAATTCAGAAGATGAATCTATGGAAGGCTCTAAGATCAAGGCCTAAAAACCAGGCAGGATCTAGGAATGCTGCAGAGCTCAAGAGCAGGATTGCCCAGCAAGAGTTACACAACAGATACAAGCTGGTACACAGGACACATTTGCCACCAAGCTGAATCTGAACTCCAAATCTCCCTTCTCTGTAGGCCCCTGATTCAGGGCTTGAAGTACAGGATTTAACAGTGTTGCAGAACTTTCTCTTCAGTCCAGCTAAAATTGGATTCTTGTCACATGACCAGGAAAGATTAGGCTCATGGACACATAGAAGGGTGAGGAGCAGAATTTATTGGGCAAAAAGGAAAAAGGAAAAATCTCAGCAAAGTGAGATGGAGTCCTGCTAACAGGCCATCCACTCACAGATTGAATCCCAGGTTTCCATACAGGAACTGATGAAGCCAAACTCTTCCCCTGTGCAAACATCACGAACTCCCCAAGGCTCCACCCAGTCCTCCCAGTGTGCAGATGGGCATTATTCAGAGAGAATCAGTTGGGAAAGGGCAGGCATCATCTAGGACCAGCAGTCCAGTTCTTCAGCCTTCAGGCTGTTTTAGGCTTGAAGGTGGGGTTTGCCAGGGACCCTTGGCTGTCTCCTGTCTCTATCAACAGCACTTGGAGCACATGCCTGCACCTGGCTGTCCCAGGGCACGCTTTGAAGAAGGATCTGGTCTCCTTTGCTACCAAAGAGACAGAGGACAGTAAGAAGCAATCTCAGCAGTAACCTTCCTATCAATACAATGGACAATTTCCTAGAGGAATATGGAGGTACTAATAGGCAGGTATGGCTAGATGATAATAGATAATCAAAAAGTGAAAAACATACAAAACATAATGAGAAGAAAGGAAGATGAATGGCCTGCATAGTTCTCCCCAGTTTTGAAACAGGCTCCAATGTACCTCCACCCATTCATTTGACAAGTACTTATTGACCATAATTTTCATTCACTGAGATACAATGGTCAAAGGTTTATGGATTATTTCTGCCCTCAAAGAGATAAATAAAAACAGGTACTTTTCATAGGTATTAAATGCAAATAAGCACATGTCGGAGCATCTAATCCAGTCTTGGAAGAGAGACAGATAGGCAAGATGAGCTTGAAGCTGAAACGTGAAGTAAAAAATAATAATAATAAATCTACCCTTCTGCTTAACATCAATACTTCTGTGTGCACCTCTTACCTCCTATACACAGATAGAATCAGGTCTATCCTTTGATCCTGGTCTAATTTAACCCCAGATAGATACCCACCCCCACTCCAGGTCAACAAGAGTTAAACTAGCTGGCTTCACCTCTATTTTAAGGGGAGGAACTAGGTCCAGCCCTAAGATAAATTCTGAATAAAGCTATCTATTACTCTTTTTTGTTTCTTTTTCTTTGTTGCATTCTCTCATACTCCAACTATTCTGCTAGATACTTTAAAATCCCAAACCTTCACTGTACTTGCAACCACAAGATGGTCCAAATGTCCATCATTGGTATTTAAAGTAAGAAAACAAAATTGGCCTCTGAGATTTATATTATAAAATCAAGCCTTCAAGGAAGTAGTTCTAAACCTGTATTAGTTCGTTTGCACATTGTTATAAAGATACTACCTGAGACTGGGTAATTTATAAACAAAAGAGGTTTAATTAAATCACAGTTTCATAGGGCTGGAGAAGCCTCAGGAAACTTACAATCATGGTGGAAGGGGAAGGGGAAGCAAAGCATTTTCCTCCAAGGCAGGAGGAGAGAGAGAGAACACAGGGGAAACTCCCTCATTATCAGGAGAACCGCATGGGGGAACTGCCCCATGATCCAATCACCTCCCACCAGGTCCCTCCCTCAACATGTGGGGATTACTGTTTGAGATGAGATTTGGGTGAGGACACACAGCCAAACCATATCAGAACCTAAAACCATCCTCCTAAACAGAAATGTGTAAATAAGTAGCTGAATGATTTTCTAAATTCAGGCACACAAATGGAGCTCTCTGCAAGATTTCTTCCCATACGCGCCTCTGAATCTACTCTCTACCTTCCTCTACTCTACCCTATACCATGAAAGGTCAACCTGAATGAACTGTAGGTAACAACAAGCTCCCTTGACTTTTGGTGAATCAACTGACAGGAGATCAGAGGCCAGCAGGAGATTATGGTCATGATATTTATTACCCTGGCTTTTCTTTCTGCCACACTTGCTGTCTTTTTACTGACGGTCACAGGTCTTGCTAACTAGTCCTCTTCAGGTTCCGATAACCCCTCCTTCCACTTGCTTCTTCAGTCTTAAGAGTAGTTACAGACCCTCAGCTGCTAGCCTTCAGTGAACTGCAATATCATTTGTCAATTTCTCTAAATCAAGGTTAGTCAATTTCATCACTATTGACATTTTAGGATACTTGTTGTGGAAGGCTGTCCTGTGCCTTATAGAATGTTTAGCAGCATCCTTGGCCTCTACTCACTAGATGCCAGTAGTACCCTACCCCATAGTTGTGGCAACCAAAAATGTCTCCAGACATTTCCAAATGTTCCCTGGAGGACAAAATCACCCCCAGTTAAGAACTACGAATCTAAATCTTTCTACACTTCTATAAATAGTCCCTTCACTAAAATTTTCTTAAATAATATAAGTATACTATTTCTTTCCTACCTAGACCTAAGACTGATACAAGAAGTCTGTTGGCAAAATTGGGCAAAATTACAACATTAAAGCTTACTTGATCCACTGTAATGTAAATTCCATAAGAGAAGGACATTGTGTGTCTCACCACTAAATCCCCTCTACCAAGAAGTGTTGGACACAAGTAAAGGCTCAATGAATATTTCTTAAGTAAATGAATTTAAGCTATATTATAAAAAATAATTTTATATGTAAAGATATAGAAAAGTTTCCACAGAAAATAAGAAGGCACAGACAAAAAGTTAAACAATATAGACATTCTGTAAGTACAATGCCGAGTTGAAGCCTTGGCCAATGGCTTAAAGTTCTCTGGACCCCCTGTTAAGGCACCTCCCATTGCAAGACAGTCCCTCAACACAGGTTACCTGTGGGACTATTAGTAAAATTATGCCAATTCCTTTTACTTGGATTTCAAACTCATCTAAAAAACCTAAAATATAAACTCCATGAGAGCTGAGCTACAACCTGTTCAGTATACCATTGTATACCCAACTGCCTTATTCAGTGTCTAATGAATATTTGTCAAGTGAGTGAATCAATGAATGGGCCATCTCATTATGATGTGGCTTTCAAGTGACTTGGCTACAAGGGGAAAGAAAGATGTAGTCTCATGACCATCAAAGCCATCAAGAATATAACTTTTTCATGTGTATTGGCAAATTGAAATTCTAGGACTTAATTGACTTGTATGCCTTAGAGTTACATTAACCATCCTCAAAAAGGCTGGCCACTCCTGACTCAAAGAATAGTCAGTAGACCAGAATAGGTCCCAAATCCAATTTTAGAATATAGAAACTTAATTGAGGTTCAGAGTAAAGTTGCATGGGTTCTTTGAAAGCATACGCTAGAAAAAAAAATTTGAAATTGATTCCATTAACACGTGATTGTGTTCCCCATTATAAAAGTACATGCATTAGTTATCTATTGCTACATGACAGATTACCCCCAAAACTTAGTGGCTAAGACAATACACATTTATTATTTCACAGTTTACATGGATCGGGAACCTGGATACAGCATAGCTGATCCTCCACTTCAGGATCTCTCATAGGCGGCAGTCAAGGTGCCAGCTAAGTTGTGGTAATCTCAAGGTTCAACTGGGGAAAGATCAGCTTCCAAAATTATTCACATGGCAGTTAGCAGAATTCAGTAACTCAAGGGCGGTTGGCCAAAAGCCACCCTCAGTTCCTTGCCATGCAGGTTTCTCCAACATGGCGGCTAGCTTCATAAAGCATGCAAGATAAGAAAGCAATAGACAGCGTATGCTGGTAGGCTGGGCGCAGTGGCTCATGCCTGTAATTCCAGCACTTTGGGAGGTCAAAGCATGCAGATCACAAGATCAGGAGATCGAGACCATCCTGGCTAACACAGTGAAATCTCGTCTCTACTAAAAATATAAAAATTAGCCAGGAGTGGTGGCGGGCACCTGTAGTCCCAGCTACTTGGGAGGCTGAGGCAGGAGAATGGCATGAACCCGGGAGAAGGAGCTTGCAGTGAGCCGAGATAGCGCCATTGCACTCCAGCCTGGGCAACACAGCAAGACTCTGCCTCAAAAAAAAAAAAAAAAAAAGAGTGTATGCTGGTAAAATGAAACTCACAATCTTTTGTAACCTAATCATGTAAATGATATGGCATCACCTTTGCTATAGTCTGTACTTAAAACAATTCACTATATCCAGACCACACTCAAAAGGAGGAAATGATACAAGGGAATGAGTACCAGAAGACCATCTTAGAAGTCTACCTATCAGAACACAAATTACCAAAAGAGAAACGACCCTTTCCAGAGATTCAAGAAAGTGGAGTTTAAGGACATAGGGTGTCTTACTTGGAAAGTGAGAATAAGGAAGAACCTCATAAAAGTGCTAGGGATGTGGAAATCCAATGGCATCTAGAATATTGGAGCAAAGGCATTCAGAACAGCAAAGGCATTCAGAACCTCAAAGCATCAGAGAAGAAAGGGACCAGAACTCCTTCAATACCTGCTAGTTGGCCCATATTTTAACTCTTCATTTCATCCTCACTTCACTGTTATAAGATGGATGTTATTAAATATTATCCCTAGTTTACAGATAAGGAAATTGAAGACCAATAAGGTTAAGTTTCTGTTCTGAAATTGCAGGGCTAGTAAATAATAGTTTTGATTAACAATATAGACATTAGATAGAAATGAACTAGAGTCTAGACCCCATCACTTATTTGCCATGTGATATTTCGTAAGTTACTTGTTTGTATTGTCCAGTGCTGAATCCCAAGCGTCTAGCAGGTGCTTTGGTAAATGTTTCTGTGAATTAATTAATCTGGGTCATTCATATACATAATGGTACCTACTTCAAGAGTTATTGTGAGAATTACATTAGATTATCTAAACACTTCAGCACAATGCCTAGCTCCTGGTAGGAGGTCAAAAAATGATAATTAGTATTATTATACTGCTCGCCCTGATTCCAATCTTAAAACCTCAAACACTGCATCCAGTCTAAATACAATGTTGCCTATATGGTACCATAAACCTCCAGCTTCCTGGTGCTCACATCATGTAGTCTCTGCTGGTAAAACCCTTAGTCCAAGTCTTTTCTTTTAATTAATAGACTTTATTTCTTAGAGTAGTTTAGGCTTACAGAAAAAATTGAACAGAAAGTACAGAGTGATTCACATACTCCCTGCACCCCCAGACTAACAGTTTCCCTTATTATTGACATCTTGCATTGGTTTAGTACATTTGTTGTCATTGATGAACCGAGCTTAACTGATACATTATTATTAACTAATGTCCACAGTTTACATCAGGGTTTACTCTTTGTGTTGTATAATACCATGAGTTTTGTCTAATGCGTAATGCCATGCATCCACCATTAGAGTATTATTCAGAATATTTTCGCTGCCTAAAAATCTGTGCTACACCTATGCATTCCTCCCCCCTTCCCCTGAAGGTAGAAGCTATAGGGATAGTAAAAATGATCAGCAGTTTCCCGGGATTTAGGCTGAGTCTTAATTGCTAGATTATTAAAACAGACATTGTCTGCTCTAGGAAAACTAGTACCCACCCTTCCTGCATAGATGCCACATGATCTGCATATCGTTTCCAGGAAAACTATCCCCACCCCTTCCCATATACACATGTTATGTTTCCACATCTCCTCCACAACAAAAACTGGACTCTATCTCTGCCTACATAGACAATACATTGTTCCCACATCCTCTACAACAGGAAAACTGGTCTTTCTTCCTCCCTAAAGGGATATCATTTGGCAACCACATCCTCTGCTCTAGGACAACTGGGCACCATGTTTTCCTAAATAAATACCATATGATTTCCATGTTTGCATCATTGCTGACATGAGTTCTTTATTTGGTTAAATTGATTTAAAAACCCCATCTGAATTCAAGTCCTAGAAAATCCCTTACCCTCTCTGAAATTTGGATGCAACAGCCACGCAGTGTAAGTCTTGGCAAAGTGACCCAATGAAACATAGTGAACAATTAGAGTGTCCTTGTAGGAAGCCAGCCTCTGCCTCACTAGTATCTTGCCCTGGGCTGTACAAGAGTTTAACCTCCAGAATAACACTGTCATCTTTTTGCTTTATTTGGCCTTATTGTTTCTCCATTTGGGAGCCAAATTATAGCCTCATAAAACAGCAGGGGTGCTAGGGAAATTGCTTAAATACAGTAACTATTAAAACTTTAAACTGCTGTGCTAATTAAATTGCCTTATTGCTACAAATTTTGTAATACGAGGCAAGTAAAAGTGCCAGTCTCCCTCCTTGGCAAAAGGAAACAACCCCTTCTAAAAATTATCACATTTGACTCCAAGGCAGACCTCAGCCCAGGGGAAAAGTGTATGCTCAGATCAGCTGGCTGGATTGCCCTCTTCTCCAGAAAGGTTTCTTCCACTCAGTTAGCTAAAGTTACTTGGTGCTGGTGGATTAACAATAGAAAAACAAACAAGGACCACCCAATTAGGGTTGACTGCAAACTGGATCCATGAGCTCAGCTGAGAAGCTCAAAAGACTTTGTGCAAGCAACTGGTTAGTAATCACTGAGCATCTGGTGTCTACCATGTGCAATGTTAAGTCCCCTGTTCGTGGAGAAAGGACACTGGTGTCCAGCCCTTGCATACACCTCCTTGAGAGAGACAGAACAAATGAAAGGGATAATTAATGTGAATTTATATATCCATTAGATTAATAGCACAGGCTCTGGGGCCAGATTGCCCAACTGAAACCCTGAGCTACCACTTCATAGCTACATGACACACAGCAAGTTCCTTAACCTCTCTGCCTTGGGGGTCCTCATCTATAAGACAAAGCTAACACTAGTAGTTATTTAAGAAAGTTGGGTGAAGATTAAATGAGCTGATATGTAAGAATTGCTTAGCACAGGGCCTAGCATAATCTATCTGTGCTAAATTTGGGGAGTATTGTTACAATTATTACTATCATTGAACAGTGTAAAAAATTCTGAACAAGAGATTGGAGTTTTAGTCTTGGCTCTACCTCTAATCTGAGGCTGTTTTCCTTCTGTATCTTTAAACTTATTTATTTGTAAACTACGAGGGTTGAATTATCTCTAAAATTCCTTCAACTACTAAAATATTATAAACCATTAGCGTTGTACTTGGTATCTGTGGTATATTCAAGCGCCATGTGGCATAGAGCAGATCAAGGGAGAGGACACTAATCCAAATATTTATGGAGCACCTAATAGGTAATAGGCATGCTCTAGGCACCAAGTAACAGCAAGAACAGCAAAAGAAGGACAGCAAGTTGAGTCCAAGTACATTAAGACATAGCCCCCAGCTGTGCAGACTGGGCACAGGCCTTCCATTCACCTTTCACTGATTCTCAGAGTCCAGAACACAGGCAAAGTACCTCAATCAGGGTCACTACAGGGAAACAACAGCACATCAGATGAGGATAATTAAAGGTGAATTTGCTAAAGGAATTTTTTACAAAGGGGAGGGGAGTGTGTAGGAAAATTTTAAAGGCCCCCGTTTTAAAATGTACCTGGGATTTTGTTTGTATTAAGTATGTTGAGGTCAACAGAAAAAGAGGCATTTGCCATTGAAAAGATGGTTTATTACTCACAGTCCCCAAGAGTAGCAGGCATACCACACCACAGGGCAGGGGGCTGCATGAGGAAGCATCAGGGTCAATCAGGAGGCACAGAGAGTTGGAAAAAAACATGGACGAGAGCCTTTATTATGGTTTCCTCAGGAAAGAATGGGCAGGGCAGAGTAAGCAGGCTAAGTAGGTTTAGGGTTAGCTGGTTTGAATAACTTTGGTGGGCTCTAAGCTATAGAAATTGTCCCTAATTTTCTGGTCCTTTGCCCTGGGATCACTTATGGTGGGGGATTGTGTCCCTGACTCCAAGACCCCAATAAAAACAGGTTGGTGGGGGTACAGACTCTGTATTGGCTTCTTTACATACTAACACATGTGCCTAGGCAAGTTCCTTACTATCTCAAAGAATTAGCTAACTTTGGGAGAGGCAGTTCCTTCCCCTCCCTGGGTCCACAAGGCTCCAAGATGTCAAAGCATCATAAAGCAAAGTAAGTAAAAAATATTATTAATACATGCCCAGAGGTCTTAAGAGACAAGAAGGAAGTCATTACCATAACTCCAAAACACAGAAGCACATGGAAAGGGCCACCAAAACAGAGAAGCACGTGGAGAGCTGTGACCCAGTCAAGAAATGTGGTCAGCCCATGGTGACCTGGCACAGAGGGAGCGAGCAACGGAAATAAATGCCCAATTTGTCTCCCCAACACCCTCCAGTATATTTCTAGGGCTCCTCATTGGCAGAACCCAACTAGAAGCCAGAGGGCAAGGGAGACTATTGATGTGGTCCATGCAGGTTCACCTGCCCAGGCAGAGAGCAAGATATGGAAGAGTGGGAAGTGGAACAGAAGCAGCAAAGACAAGACATCAGCACACACAGGAAGAACTGACATCCAAGTCAGTGCTGGAACAACACCAGAAGCTGGAGCTGCTTCTGCTTCAGGGAGAATCTGCAAATAGCCTGCTAAAAGAAACACATATTGGGTTCAGTGTTGCCTAGAGGTGGAGCAGGCAAAGATGAAAGGAGAAATTTATTTCCTCATAACAACTCTTTGCCTTTTCCTTCATCTTAGCACAAATGTTGGACACCACGGGGAGAGGCAGGTAGGATTTCATTCATTTCCTCATGACAGGAACCTTCTGTGAATGCATCTTTCAGGTGCTCCGGAATATTTAAAGGCCTATTGTGTTCCAAGAACTGCTGACCTCACCTCTGTTGCCAGGAAACCTGCTACAAACTCTAGAATCTGAGCACTGACATCATTGCTGTCCCCAGATGATCCAGGAGGAAACAAGGGGCTGATGCTGATGCCCATGGTCAGAATAGAGTGAGCAGCACGGATGTGAGCTGTGAGAGGCCAGCTCTGCTCCTGTAGCTTACACAAATGCCTACTGGACACACCCATAGCATGTTGCTAAGGCAGAGTGAATGGCACCATTCAACAATCATTAACAGTGCCTACTTTGTGCTCAGCTCTGTGAATGTAAGCCTGAACCACACATGGCTCCTGTCCGTCAAGGAATTCATAATATATTAAGAGGAAACACAAATGCACCGATAACCATGTGATGCTTAAAATTAATCACAGAACTCCATGCCTAGGCCTCTGCTGGGGGTATCAGGAAAGGCAGGAAGAAGCTAATCGGCCTATGCCATGCGTTACAATTTTTCTTGGGGAAAGGCAAAAAAATCTTACTCTTTGAATATATAAAACACAGATAGACATAAGGTACATAAACAGATATGGCATATAATATATCTGTGGCATTAAAATTTCCTGGAGAGGGAGACAATTAAGAAAGAAAATATCTTTAAAGCTCTTTAAGAGTGTAATAATAACAGAAAGGTTAAGGAACACTGAACTTAGTGTGTAGGAGCATGTAGCCTCAAGTCAGACTGAATTCTAGCCCCATCCCTTATAGATTTGTAACTTTAGACTTTCTTAGCTTATTCGGCCTCTCTGTGCCTCAGTTTCATCATCTGCAAATTAGAGATAACAATAGTGTCATCTTCTAATTAATTAAATGATATAATGCGTATTAAGTTCCTAGATTATCTGACAAATAATAAATGCGCAATAAATGTATGCCATTGTTATCAATACATTCAACAAATAACCTGCACTTACCAATATAAGAAAGTATAAAACCCAGCCCTGGCCCTTAAGAGGCATTACAAGAAGTGATCAGCACAAAGAATAAGAGTTTCAACTTTGCAGCCGACTGGAGTTTGAACTCAGGATTTTTCACATGGCAACAAATTAATTAACTTCAGTTAAATAATTTTAAAGGAGCCGTGGGTGCTCCTTTCATGCAGTGGGCAGGAATAATACCTACAGTATTTGTTGAATGCCTACTATGGGCCAGGTAGGAGGTGCTAGGAATAGAGCACTGGAAAAAAAAAAAAAAAAGTCTCGTTCCTTTAGGAGCTTACATTCTAGTAGAGATGGACAATAAATATACAAACTAATGAATGTGTCATAGAATGTTAGAGAGTGATTGATGTCAATACATAGAGTTGGTTTTAGAATAGCTGACAGGGAGTACTATTAGACAGAGTTGCCAGGAAGGATTCTTTAAGAAAGTGACATTTAAGCACAGACATGAATGAAGTGAAGAAATAACCCTTGCAAAGATCTGGGGAAATACTGCTTCAGGAAAAACAAACAAACAAAAAAAAACATTAAATGCAAACACCCTGAGACAGGAACATACCCAGCCGGTGTGAGGCTGATGTTGCTGGGGCACCATAAACAAGGGGAACGTGGTGGGAGATGGAGCCAGAAAGCGGGCCAAGATGTACTTGGATTTTCATCTTAAGTACAACAAGGCTTGGGAAGAGGGGAAGAGTGCGATCTGATTAATGTTTTAGGAGGATTTCTCTGGCTGCTGTGTGAAAAATGGATGTAAGGGCAAGAAAGAAGGCAATGAGAGTGGTTAGGAGGCTACTGATGTAGATAAAGCACTTAGTACTGTGCCTGAAACAACAAATACTTTCAATAAATAAGACCTTTAGAAATCTGCTTGGAGGCAAACGACAAGAATTCCCGTGACTCTAATTTCTTGATTGTCATATCAGAGCTAAATCCAAGGCCAAATAAACCACTGGTCTCACCGAATGCAGTGTCTCATAAGCAGCATCTTATCCAATGCAAAAAAGTTCTAAAATCTAACCACTACCAGCTTCCCAAACTCCCTTTTTCAGGCAAGACTTTTCTAAACCTGTGGCAAAGGTGCTTATGCCCGAGTAGCCTATGCCATTTTTTTAAAAAAAAATCCTATATATCAAAATGGTATCAACTTAAAATGACTCTAGTAGATCAAGAAAATATTTGGGAGTTCAAAGAGTTGTGTTTCTCACTAAATTTTAAGCATAAATCAATTTCATAGCTCAATTCCTGGAATACATAGCAGGTAATCACATAGCTGCAGAAAAATAAATGAATGAATATATAAATAATCCCAAAACAAACTGTACAGTGGAGACAGGAAGCCTAAAGCAAGGTTATTAATGTTTATCTTACAATTAGTAAAAATACAAAGTTTGTTCTCCATTTTTTTCCCGAAATACAGTTCAAAGTGATATCAGTAGGTATAAAACCAACACCTAGTTATACATCTTTAAAATGAATTTTGACCAATTTTAGCTTCTTGAGTGGGGAGAATTATCCAGAATCAAAGATCAATGTCTAGGTTATAGTAGATGGTCAATAAATATTTGCCAATTTAGTTGATAAACATATGAATAAAACTATTTTAAAAGATGCTTGTGTAATCTTCCTCAAGTTCCAGTAAATTAAACTCCATTCTATTCTTTACATGTAGAAAAGTCAGCGACTTCTGCTTAAATTTAAACCATTTTAGGAATGTGATGGGTAAATTAAAAAAAGGTTCCTTTTTCACCCTAGCTACACCTTGTTCATCAGGAGTAAATTCCAAAAAGTTAAACTTGACTATATCAGCAAGTTAAGAGACGCAACAATGCTCAGTAGGAAAACTTACTGGAGTCATGCCTATTACTCTTAATAATTCAGTCAATTTCAGCCATCTATTCTCATCACAGAGGAAGGAACAAGGATTGATGAGAAAGCACATCTTATCCATAAAGCAACAGACTGGAATGGAAAGGTCTTTTCAGATACATCTGTCTATGAGAGACATACCCTTTCCCACTTCCTCATCTGAAACTGGATTAATCACCCAGGATTAGGTAAATGAAGAGTTCCAGAACATCAAGGTATTTCCAATCGACATACCCTACTTCAACCCCCTGATTCTGCCCTTCACTGTCACTCGTCTGAAGGCAAGAACAGAATGCCTTCCCCAGTCTCCATCCAGTGGAAAATGAAAAAAAATCTGACTTTCACCCCATATCATTTTCATCTTTCATCTTAATTATCACTACCAAAAGCACAGAAATCATTATCTTTACGATGATGAACGTCCAATTAGCATTTCCCATATAAATTTCATACTATAAAGGAGGTTGTAATGGATAATGCAAATTGCTAATAGCCTTTTTTTTCCTGAGCTGAAAAATTGAGGTGCTTAACAAAATGAAATTAAATCTGAGCCATTTTCAAACAAGTCAAGAACTTTAATTACTCGATAGGAAAAGAGAAGGCGAGACAAGCTAAAAATTTTAAATGGTCATATTTGTAAGTAGTTTCCCTTTCCACCACGCTGCTCAAGCTATCCCCCTAGACAGCTAAATGCTTGTCTTGTTGTGCTCAATGGGTTTTAAACTATTGTGAAAATTGTTCAGTGTAATTTTTTTCATTAGTAGGGCTACTTAGTAAGTTGGAAACTTACTCCAAATAAACATTCCATTTGCTCTATGGCATTTTAATTGGTTCCCATCCAACATGCTTCCACACAAAAACTGATCCTGTAGTGATACCGTCTCCTTTCTAATTAGAGCATGCTGCTTTGAGCAATAACATAAGACACTATGATTTGAATTGTCCAGTCAGAGTAAGCTGGATTAGGTGTTAGCCAACATGACCATGGTTGAATACTCATGTTCTGAAGCCATACAGACAAGTTCAAAGCCTGATTCACTGCTCACTACCTCTGTCAATTAGCCTCCGTGAAGTGAGATGAACCTCTGAGCACAAGGATTAAATGATATACAGTGTATAAAGCATCTAAAAAAAATGGCTGGAAAATAAGTGCTCAATTAACAGTAGGGAGAAAATTAACCTCAATTCTGACTTTACAACTTGTGGGTAAACTATTCATTCAAAAATTATGCATTGGGCATCCAATATGTACTAGACAATGTTCTAGATACATGAGACATATCAGAGAAGAAAACAGGCCCAAAAAACTGCCTGAGGAGATAAACTATCAATAATAAACAGGTAAACCATGTAGTAATTACCTCAAAACGGACCAAAAAAAGAGCCAAGTAAGGGAGATTGGGGGTGGGTGGGTGGAGATGGTTTGCTAATTGAAATTTTAAATGAGGTAAACAGGTTAGATTCTAGATTTTGCAGGTAGAACCAAAAAGATTTACTGAAAGATTGGATGAGGAGTGTGAGAGAAAGAGGAGTCAAGATTGACTCCAAAGTTTTGGCCCAATTAACTGCAGGGATAGAGTTGATTGACTAGAATAAAGATAAGAAAGACTGAAAGTGGTGCCACTTGTATGGTGAGACAGAGAGAAAGAAAGAGTGTGTGTGTGTGTGTGTGTGTGTGTGTGTGTGTGTGTGTGTGTGTGTTATGGTGACCAACTACCCAGTTTTACACAAGTCTTTCCTGGGTTTACCACTGAAAGTCCCATGGCCTTCAGAACTCCCCAGCCCCAGGCAAACTGGGACAGTTGATCACTCTAGCAAAGAGTGGATCCGATGTTCAGTTTGGGACATATTAGCTTTAAAATGTCTTCCTGGCATCTCAAGCACACATGTGAAGTAAACAGATGAATATATGAATCTGTAGTTTAAAAGTGATGAAAAATAAATTTGAATGTTGCCAGTATATACATGGTATTTAAAACTATGAGATTATGTGATATCACAACAGGATTTTATAGTCAGTAAAAAGTAGTCAGCAATAGAATTTCATTCATCACATGCTGAATGCCAAAACCTAAGAATATAGATTATAGCTCAAGCCCTTTAGGCAGCCACAGTACCATGGCAAAGACAGACAGCCAATTAATTACAAAGATTTTTAAGTATACAAGTTCAGTGATAACCCCTTCGAGGACAAGATGGTATCACAGGTCTTTGAAGGATGAATAGGAGTTTCCCAAGAAGATGAGGTGGTAGAAAGAGTATTCAGAGAAGAGGTGGAAGGGAGAGAGTATTCAGAAAAGCACATTATGTATGATAATACAGAAAAGTGAAACAGCATGGCAGGTGTATTAGTCCATATTCACGCTACTGATAAAGGCATACCTGGGACTGGGAAGAAAAGAGGTTTAATTGGACTAACAGTTCCACATGGCTGGGGAGACCTCAGAATCACGGCAGAAGGCAAAAGGCACTTCTTACATGGTGGCAGCAAGAGAAAATGAGATAGAAGAAAAAGCTGAAACCCCTGACAAACCCATCAGATCTCCTGAGACTTATTTACTATCACGAGAATAACACCAAAATCCAGCGAGGCAGTCAAATTTTAAAGCTCCAAAATGATCTCCTTTGACTCCAGGTCTCACATCGAGATCACACCAATGCAAGAGGTATGTTCCCATGGTCATGGAAAGCCCTGCCCCTGTGGCTTTGCAGGGTACAGCCTCCCTTCTGGCTGCTTTCATGAGCTAGCTTTGAGTGTCTGTGGCTTTTCCAGGCGCACGGTGCAAGCTGTTGGTGGATCTACCATTCTGGAGTCTGGAGGACAGAGGCCCTCTTCTCACAGCTCCAGTAGGCAGTGCCCCAGTAGGGACTCTTTGTGGGGGCTCTGACCCCACATTTCCCTTCCGCACCACTCTAGCAGAGGTTCTCCGTGAGGGCCCTGCCCCTGCAGCAAACTTGCTTGGGCATCCAGGCATCTCCATACATCTTCTGAAATCTAGGTGGAGGTTCCCAAACCTCAATTTTTGACTTCTGTGCTCCCACAGGCTCAACACCACATGGAAGCTCCTAAGGCTTGGGGCTTCCAACCTCTGAACCCACAGCCTGAGCTGTATGTTGGCCCCTTTCAGCCACTGCTGGAATGGCTGGGACACAGGGCACTAAGTCCCTACCTAGGCTAGAAACAGCACAGGGACCCTGGGCTCTGCCCACAAAAACACTTTTTCCTCCTGAGCCTCCAAGCCTGGGATGGAAGGGGTTGCCGTGAAGGTCTCTGACAAGGCCTGGAGACATCTTCCTCATGGTCTTGGGGATTAACATTAGGCTCCTTCCTACTTATGCAAGTTTCTGAAGCTGGCTTGAATTTCTCCTCAGAAAGTGTTTTTTTTTTTCTATTGCATAGTCAGGCTGCAAGTTTTCCAAACTTTTATGCTCTGAGTCCCTTATTAAACTGAATGCCTTTAGTAGCACCCAAGTCACATCTTGAATGCTTTGCTGCTTAGAAATTTCTTCTGCAAGATACTCTAAACCCTCTCTCTCAAGTTCAAAGTTCCACAAATCTCTAGGGCAGGGGCAAAATGTCACCAGTCTCTTTGCTAACACATAGCAAGAGTCACTTTTGCTCCAGTTCTCAACAAGTTCCTCATCTCCACCTGAGATCACCTTAGCCTGGATTTTATTGTACTTAGAGCTATCAGTATTTTGGGAAAAGCCATTCAACAAGTCTCTAGGAAGTTCCAAACTTTCCCACATTTTCCTGTCTTCTGAGCCCTCCAAACTGTTCCAACTTCTGCCTGTTACCCAGTTCCAAAGTCACATCTACATTTTCGGGTATCCTTTCAGCAACACCTACTCTACTGGTACCAATTTACTGTATTAGTCCATTTTCCTGCTGCTGATAAAGACATACCTGAGATTGGGAAGAAAAAGAGGCTTAACTGGACTTATAGTTCCACATGCCTGTGGAGACCTCAGAATCATGGCAGAGGTGAAAGGCACTTCTTACATGGTGGCAGCAAGAGAAAATGAGGAAGAAGCAAAAGCAGAAACCCCTGATAAAACCATCAGATCTCGTGAGATTTATTCACTGTCACGAGAATAGCACAGGAAAGACTGGCCCCCATGATTCGATCACCTCCCCCAGGTCCCTTCCACAACATGTGCGAATTCCAAGAGATACAATTCAAGTCGAGATTTGGGTGGGGACATAGCCAAACCATATCAGCGGGTTTTAGAAAACTCCAAGTAGTGTTATGGTTCAGGTGGATGAAATGAAAGGACGAACATATTAAGAAGTAAAGTTAAAATGCCACATTTATCACTAATTGGCAGGCATTTGAATTTTAGCAAAACCAGAAGTAGTATAGAAATACAAATTTTGTTGAGCATGAACTATGGCAATTTCAAAGACTCAATATAAACAAATGCAGGATCCTGGTTTTGTTCATGTTTAAGCTCCACAATTCATTAGAAATATAAATGTGGGAAGTAGTTTTCCCTATTTTTTAGTTCCCTCATCCTAAAAGAGAGATGAATAATCCTGAAATATCTGGTCAGGTTTTAAATGTTAAATAACCTGATAGATTTACAAGGATAACAATTATCTTTGTAATTATGATGTCTTTACCATTTTGAGCAATGGTTAAAATCAACCATGCCCAACAGACAAAGGAAAATCATACTACAAGTGTATTTGTGGCAGAAAGGGCAACCGGGGGCCCACATGAGTTTTGTCAACCACAGTGTAATTAACATGAATCTATATGCCATTTTAAAACTAGAAATGAATGTATAAATTATGATAATTATGATTTAGTGGTTTTTAAACTTTTTAGCAACAGAACCCTTTTGTCCTGGAGAATTCAGCACATAATCTCAATTTGTAAATTTAATAAAGGTGTAACTGTTCTGAGTGATTCCTGAGTCGGGGGAAGGTAAAATAGTTCTTTCTGTTCAACCTCATGGCCATCTGTTCTGGCCACTAAGAAACATCCTAGAACCCTAGAGATCCACAGAACAGTGTTAAGACAACTGTTGTAGATAATCAAATTCAATCCCCTCATTATATAAGTGAGAAGACCAAGGGCTGAAAGGAGGATGTTATTTATTGAAAGGCACACAGTTAGTCAACTCCCCTTGGGTATAGCTTCTGCTGCACCATATTGTCTCCCCATAGCGCCATTTCCAGCTCTCTCCTACAGTCTGCTCATTTCCAGTGTCATGTGGTCGTTTCAACGCCTAAAAGTATGCATTGAGTACCCGTTACTTCTAATAACCAGTTAGTAATACTTGCACACATATAAATACCTGTGTATATTTAACTTTTCAAATACATATGGGCACACTGCCATTTTATCTTCCTCCCTTATAAAACAAAGAAAGGGAAATTTTTCAAACCAGACTCTCTGCTCATCACCGGAGCAACATAAAGACATCATAGGATGGAATTGCTGGATATTTACCTAACATTTTATTAAGGCAATTACTGTGTAAATACTAGAGCAGTGATATAACATGATGCTGAGGAGCATGGGCTCTGAGACAGATCTCCTTGTTTCTAAATCCAGCTTCATAAGATATTGGACAAGTTACTTAAACTTTCAGTGTCTCAGTTTCCTCCTGTGTACAATTGAACTGATAATAATGGTAACTCCCTCATAGGGATTCAATTAGTTAATGCATTTAAGTTTAGGACATTTCCTGATACATATAAGTCCTTTAAAACTATTTTTTATTTTTTCTGAAACTTCGATTTATAAGAGTTTATACATTTGTCAGGGTTTTCTTTTTTAACTTTTATTTATAGTTCAGGCATATATGTGCAGGTATGTTACATAGGTAAATCTGTGTCATAGGGGTTTGTGATACAGATTATTTCATCACCCAGATATTGAGCTTAGTACGCACTACTTATTTTTTCTGATTCTCTCCCTCCTCCCACCCTCCACCCTCCAAAAGGCCCCAGTGTGCATTGTTCCCCTGTATATGTTCATGTGCTTTCATCATTGATCTCCCACTTATAAATAAGAACATGCAGTATTTGGTTTTCTGTACCTGTGTTCATTTGCTAAAGTTAATGGCCTCCAGCTCCATCTATGTCCTCGCAAAGGACATGGTCTCATTCTTTTTTATGGCTGCATATGTTCCATGGTGTATATATACCATATTTTCTTTATCCAGTCTATCATTGATGGGCATTTAGGATGATTCCATGTCTTTACTATTGTGAATAGTGCTGCAATAAATATATGCATGCATTTGTCTTTATAACAGAACAATTTATATTCCCTTGGATATATACCCAGTAATGGGATTGCTGGGTCAAACAGTATTTCTGTCTTTAGGTATTTGCATCACTAATCATTAGAGAAACGCAAATAAAAACCGCAATGAGTTGTCATCTAACTCCAGCTAGAATGGCTATTATTAACAGTCAAAAAATAACAGACAGTGGTGAGGTTGCGGAGAAAAAGGAGCACTTACACACTGTTGGTGGGAGTATGAATTAGTTTAGCCATTATGGAAGACAGTATGGTGATTCCTCAAAGACCTAAAACTATAATTTATCTTTAAAATCTTCATCAGAAGCTAACCCATTGAAGAATCAGCTTCATTAAAAGCCGTGATTCTCTCTACCAAGCACATCCCACCGTTGCTTAGACCAATAACAATTTGAAAACAATAAGCAAAACCTCTCTGGCTGATTCTAATTGTCATGTGGGAACAAAGTAAACCCTATTAGATGTCTTACCAACCTTAAATCACTCTTACTTATGACTATGCACCCAATTCTCTACCATCTACATCCAAAATAAACATACTCTCATGCTGTTAGAATTCCTAGTTGTACTTAGTGAAAAGTCACTGCTCTCCAATGTGGAGTTCCTAAGAGCTAACAAAAGGCCAAACATCAAAATTCTCATTCAACGAAAACAGGCTCCTGTTATGACTCCATTTCTCTTCTTCCTACTCTTCCTCCAACCCAAGCCTTCACACAGGTTTTCTGGGGTGCGGGTTGGCGGGGGGTGGGTGGGAGGCAAAGAAAGCCTAGGGGAAGAAGAGTCTGTTATCCTGCATTTTAGGAAATCTACTTCCCAAAATAGCAAGATGTGAGAGTGGAAAATTAGCAGGAACACAATAGAACAAGACTGAACTAAATTACACTTCATTCAGTGTCCCACAGAGCCACAGCCTATTCATTCATACTCATTAAATGCAATCAATATTCTACAATGGAACCATCAATTGCTATATGTCTGACATAAACAACAAATACACTAAGTACAAATTAAGAAACATACTCAGTTTTCAGACACTGGCTTGAAACTCCTGCTAATGGTACTGTGGAGAGTTAATGTCACCTGGGAGGCAGTCACCAAACAGCAGTATGAGTATAATTTTTAGACCTGTTTTTAGACCTGTCTAAAAACCCTCTTCCCAAAATCCAACTCACATGTACATTTTTTTTCTCTCTTTAAACAACTGATTAAAAGTTGCATTCTGTTTCTTTTTCTTCCAGGTTAAAGCTAATACCAGTTCAAATGCTTTCTTACCTGTAAACATCAATCACCAAAGAATTTGTCCTCCTTGAGGGTTTCAAGATAAATCCAAAAAATCCTAGGGTTTACAACTAAAGATGAAGGATTGACCATGTAAACCACATACCTTTACCTCTGGTCTCTTTCAAGATTCTCAAAATGATAGTAAAGGAATCAGAAAATATAAACTCATAATGATAAAGAAAATAAGAAAGTAATGGCAGTGAAGATAATATTGCAATAAATTTCTGGAAGCAGAAAGAGTAAGAGACAGAAGAGAGAGAGAGGACAAAATCACAGCTTACATGTATGCAGAAGGAAAAGTAGTTGTTAAAAGAGCTGAATTTTCACTAAACTCCAGAGAGGCTCAAGGTTGAGAGTAACCAGATACAACTAATATTATCAGAGAGTCACAGGTCTAAAAACAGGAAGACCTGCTAAATGTCAGCATTTGGAAAAGTCAGTGCCCCCAATGTACACACACACACAGACACACACGCATCCTTACAAAGATGAGTTTCCATATTGAAAGGGGACACTTCCAACATAGTAAATAAAAAAACATTTCCATCATGGCCCACTAGTGTGAAATTTCAGAATCTTAGGTATGAAGAGATGACCCTGCAAGTCTCCAGAGAGAAATGTGTCACCTCCAGAGGAGTGAGAATCAGGAAAATATCAGATTTCCCAATATAACATGCTACTAGATTACAAGACATACTGAAGAGTCTCAAGGTAAAATATTGGATCAAAAATTGATTTTATGTGCAGTAAAACAATTTAAGCATACAAGTACAGAAAGAATTATATGAACACTTAATAATTAAGGGAATACTGTTCCTATGAGTCTTTCCTAAGGAATCTTTTATGAACCAAGATTTGGGCATCTGAATGATTAGGACGAAATGGTCATAAGGCCTAAAGGTAAGCACAAGTATATATTTACATGTAAAACTAAGATTAAATGATGAGACAGTATAACGAATGCATGCTCTTAACAATGTAGGTAAAGTCAAAACCTGACATAGAATGAAGACAATATTTTAAAAATAGATTAAGGCCAGGAGCAGTGGCTCATGCCTGTAATCCCAGCACTTTCGGAGGCCAAGGCAGGCAGATCACCAGGTCAGGAGATCGAGACCATCCTGGCTAACACAGTGAAATCCCATCTCTACTAAAAATACAAAAAATTAGCCGGGCGTGGTGGCGGGTGCCTGTAGTACCAGCTACTCAGGAGGCTGAGGAAGGAAAATGGTGTGAACCCGGGAGGCAGAGCTTGCAGCCAAGATCGCACCACTGCACTCCAACCTAGGCAACAGAACAAGACTCCATCTCGAAAAAAAAAAAAAGTAGATTAAGCTCACTGATTGTCTTATAGATATTAATCAGGAATGTAGAACACTTCTTCAAATCAGTGCTTGATATAAAGGGGGAGTGGAAAGGAAAGTTTACTTAGCTAATTTTAATATCTCTCATAGTTGTCCACCAATAAAAGATAGATCAAGAAAAAGGGGACTAAGAGTATTTTAGAAAAGTATTAATATAGAAATTGCCATTAGAACAAAAATGCAAACCTCCCAAAATAAAGAAAAATATAACAAAAAAGAGAGTAAGTGAAATAAATTATGTAATGAAACACTTTATATAATACGTGTGTGTGCTTATATATATATATGTATTAAAAATAAAAAAGCAACACATTTTTTAAAAGATTACTTATAGAGGAGAGAAGTAATAGGTTGGAAGAGACAGAATTTGAAGTTGTAATTCTTGAAATATGCCTTGTATTGTATATGAGGCTCTGTAACAGTGTCAAAATTTTATACAATTATTAAAAAATTAAACAAGCATTTTCTAAAACTAAAAATTAAATAAATGAACCTAACTGTATATACAGTTAGTAGTATAACCACCAAAGAAGAATCATTTCAAGTGACTTTAAATCATAGTAAGTTGTCTATGCATTCCTAGTGGAATTTACATTGTAAATTTTAAATTTTATAATGTAAAACATGTACATTATCATATTATTAGTGGTAGTGTTGGTACTGTTATTCTGAGACTGTTTTGTGTGTAGTGTGGGATAAAGCAAGCTAGTTACCATATTGATGTCTTTAAGCACCAGGATTTTCATCATAGATGAAAGTATACAGATGTAAGATTGATGAAATCAAGTAAAAATCTTATAATCCTAAATTTGGATGGAAAAAAATCAGTATAAGCCTATGAAATGTTTTTTCCTCTAAAAACTAAAAATATATATTCCCTAGGCCTCTGTAAAGGCCTAGAAGCAATAATCCAACTGGTAGTAATGATTACTCCTAGTGTCCACACTGTGATCTCCAGAAAACTAGGGATCCCAAAAAGAAAGGAATCTTTGAAGAAAAGGTTGTATCCAGATCTGGGGCATAAAATTTCCATCTTGTCATTGGAAACTGTTAAAATAAAAGAGTGATTTTAAAAGACAAAGGAATGAAATTGAATAAGCTTCCACTGCTATAGATAAGACCAATAGAGTATCAACAAAGATAATAACTTTAATTATTTTAAATACATGATATACATTTAAATGTATGAGAGCATAATTGTACACCAAAAGTTTCATGGGTTACCTTTGGAGAATGTTAGAGAACCAATTCCAATTCATTATTTTTAAAAACTGGTAAATAAAAAGAATAAGAAGCAAGCAGTTGTGCTGCCTTTCTTATTTAAGTCTAAGGAAGTTATGCAGTTAGAGAATAGAACCAAGGTATAAAAAAAGCAAGATGACCAAGTCCAAAATCCAGCAAAGCTGATAAACAGAACCTATGATACAGTGATCAGCTCAGGTCTTTACCTGTTTTAGTATTTGAAGTCCCACATCCCAGGAAAACCCTCAGTCCCAGACAAACCAAGACAGTTGGTCATACTACCTATGGAAACACAAGATCAAAAGCTCACACAAGGAGCAAAAGGTAGATTATAACAAAACTAACTTATCACTTGCTTGAAAGCCCAGTATCTACCATTGTAGATGTTACTTTGTTCATTTTAAAGGAGTTACTGGTACTGAATTCTAACTGGTATATAGTGAACTCTTTCGATCCATAATAATAACAATAGCTTCTAATTATACAGAATCTATCTTCTGACAGGCATCATATAAGCACTTTACAAGAAATTATTCATTGAATCCTCGTGCTAATCATAGGATATAAGTGCCATTTTTATTTCCATTTACAGGTGAGAAAACTGAGGTTCCCATGGGTTATCTTACTTTCCCAAAGTGGCCCAGCTCCTAAGTGGCAGAGCCTGCATTAGAACCTAGGTCTGTCTGACTCCAAAAGCTTTCCTCTCTGTCACTACACCATATTTTCTCTTGCTTACTCTCTCCACCAAATATTCCAATAATCAATAATCAGAATTAAACTGAATATCTTAAAGTCCTTCATCCTCTCCAAGTTCAAGAAATGTTTTAGATAGACTCAAACACAGAATATAACTGAAGAGTATTATTCTCCAAGCTACCAAACCTAGGCCTAGACAGCCAATATCAATTTAGCTTTGCCTTATGGAAGAATGAACGCATGAGTCTTTATGGCCTATAAATCTGATTGATGTTCATCTTAAAAGCCCAAAAGACTATATGGGAGAGTACCAAAGTTTTACTACCCACGCAGATAAATAACCATGGAATTTCAAACTTCTTGACAGGGAACAAAAAAAGCAACCCGACAAGTGAGAATCGGGTTGAGATCCTCCCAACTCACTCATTAAGATGTCTTAATGGTGACTGGCAAGTTTCTACCATTATGGATGCAGAAAGGTGAATAAGATCCCTTTCAAGTTTCTGACTGCTAGCCAAAGATCCAGTTTCTAAAATATAGCATTTACTGGAATCATTAAGATTCACCTATCACAAAACTAAATAGATACCGTCTGCAGAGATGCAAATCAAACTCTGAGCCCTAGAGGCTCTGCTACTGCCAGAGTTACAGCTGTAGATACAATCACAGAGAATAGGGTCATGATAAGTTATTAGGGAGAACAACAGTCCCAAGATCACATCGTAGCTCTTCCACTTAGTAATTACAATTATTACTATCGCTAACATTTATTAATTGTTTAACATGTGTCAAGCACTGTAACAAGCATTTGACATATGTTCTCAGAAAGGTCACACAGGTAGTGAGTGATTCTAACCTAGGTCCATTTAACTTTAAAATCTAGCAGCAATGCCTTCTTACAGATGCCTGAGATCACCCAGCACTTCCAGAGATGCTGGGTTCCTTCTTCTTTACCCTTTTTTCTCTTCTCCACAGCCCCTTACTCTCATCCAATGTCCTTACTAGATGTGGGAATTTGGGAAATTGCTATGGAGCCTCAACTTCTTCATCTTCAAAATGCAGATAAAAGTTGCACTTGCTTCGTTGGGTTGTTGAGATAATTACATGAAATCATGACCCACAAAGGGCTTATCTTATGGTGGAATTTTAACAAATGTTAGCTCCATTGTATATAACTGTGCTAGTTAGTAATGTGAAACTCAAGAATTATAAAGTCCATCCCTTGCCCTTACAATGTTTACATTCTATTTCATGTCATCCTTAATGGGAAACTAGTATTTAGTCCTTACTAGCCAAACCGTGACATCTACGTTAGGGCAAAATTCTGGGCTAGATGACATGCTGATTAGATCCAATGCCTTCAGGTCTTTAGCTTGGTAATGCTCTCCCTTGATCAGCATTTTACCACTGATGGAAAATACCTTCCAAAATCTTACCCTAAGGTTTAGTCTCAACCAACAGAAATGCACCCTACTTCCTGGCAGCACCACCAACTCTGCCAAGCATCTTCCTGAAACAAAGAAGACCCTAGTAGGGCTTTAAAATGCTTATGGCAGAAGCTCACCGAAAAGACCTTCATCTCCTAAGGGAGGAACATATCAGCCACTCATAATGTGATCATGGAGAATGAAAACAAGTGACTTTTATCTACCTTGGTTTGCTTCCTAAAAAAATGAGGCAGTTGAGTGAGCTGATTCCTGGGTTCTTTCCCAGTTCCAAAGAAACTCTAAAACAATATGCAAAGGGGACAACTTTTCTTTTTCAAATGAAGATTTTTCTCTCTAATTTTCCAAACCCTTTGATGCTACTTATCATGATTCCCGGTGTCACTGACAAACACTTGATGTCACCATCTGCTAAAGCAGAAGTTTTGAAATGCAGTGTGTCCCTCATTCATTGTGAACAGAGGGTCACAATCCATTTGTTATCAATAATGGTTGAAATGCTAAAATCTCCTAATGCTTTTTTTCGTAAATTTGAACATGATTATAAAAATTAGAATATTATCACTGTTTTACTGCCAGCTTTCTGACATATTTAGCTGAGTAGGAGAAAGGTAGAATTTTGATATTCCCATTGGAAATTGTTTGCGTGAAGATCAGTCAATGTTGTTGTAATGCCAGAAAATTAGGTTGAGAATTAATGATCTGTTCTGCGTCCAGAACATTGAGGAAAAAGTGAAAAATATTTTATCCTGAGCCAGGACAACAAGATATTTGTCCAGGGAAGTCTATTGTATCACCATGTGCTCTTCTAATACATTAATTCAAATTACCGCATAATAACTAACTACATATTGAGGCTATCATTCTGTTTCAAGTATTATTCTCACACTTTCTTTCCTCTTACACCCATTATACTTCTGAGTGTTCCTCTCCAACCACCAGTTAAAGATCATTTAATTATTATATTCGTATCACATATAATTAGAAAAGAGACTCTTCTCCTGCTTCTAGCATTCTGAAAACAAAGATAATTTTTCAATTCCCACAAAAAGTATCATTGCTGAAATACATCTCCATTCATTCATTCATTTATCCACCCAAATAGTTATTAAGCATCTACCATTTGCCTAGCCCTCCATGTGGGCACTTACAAGGCCATGCAGATGAATTGACTGAAGATTCTGCCTTTTGGGAGTTTATAATCCAATCTTAAAATACAACATATTCATCAATAACAAATTATGTGCCACAGGAAAAAGCAGTAAAGGACAATGGTTAAAACTTCCAGTTTTGGAGTCAGCTTGAAGTCGAATCCTGGCTCTGGCACTTGAGAGCTTTGTTACTGAGCAGGGAGAGGGGAGGGTGTTAACGATTGTCATTACTGGAAAATAATGGATTGACATGGTTGAACAAGGGGTTGTGAAGGTTAGAGTTGTGTGATTGTTGTGGTGAGTGTTGTGGTTTATAAAAAGGGAACATATAAAAAGTGCTGCCAAGTTTCAATCAAGGAGGGATTCGTTCCAATCAAGATTATCAAGTAAGGCCTTGTGGAGAACGTGGCCTTCCAACTTGGCCTAAAAGGACACATAATTATGAACATATAAAGAAAGACCAGAGAAAGGGCATTGTAGGCAAAAGAAACACCACAAATAAAAGCAAAGAAATAGGAAAGCAAGATGTATGTTCCAGAAACACCAGCAATTCAACAGGACAAAAAGAGACAGAAATAAAGTTGGAATAAAAGATGTAGGTTAGATTGTAGAAAATTTTAAACTTCAAACAAGCTAAGGAAGTTAGACTTTCATTAGCATAGAGAGTCACAAGAATCCTGGGAGTACCCCTTAAGGGAAAGTAATCTTTGCAAGAAAAGCATAGGTCCCATAGAGTGATAGTTTAATAAATTTCTATTACTATTATTACAGAAAAATCAATAACACTACAATATATTCCATGCTGGAATCATGCCTGCTACCTGTCAACAGACCATACAGAAGTGGATTCTGGAAACTAGAAACATAAGTTGAGGGAAAATGTGTTTATCGACATTTAGTTTAAATTATTGCCGCTTCAAGGGCTTGACTAGGAGAGAAGGCAAGCTTAAAGGAAAGGCAAAGTGGTAATATGCCTCAGATCATTTTAAGGAAGTATAGAAATGTTTTGTTCTCCTCGAATGATCAAGACACAATATTGAGTTACCTAAAGCAGGCCCTTCAAGGATTTAGAAATTGAAAGAGATTGATGAAATCAATCCAGAGGTCACCAAATCAAGGTTTCTCATGAGCAGGTGCCTACCTTTTCACATTGCAGCTAATTAAATACAAATGCTCATAAGGTAAAAATCAAAGAACGCTTAGACTTCATAAAGCACTTCAGTTATATTAGACTCTCACTTTAGCTTCTAGTTAGACTAACCGGGGCTTTTTCAGCTGAAAGTGACAGAAACTTAACTCAAACTAGCTTAAACAAAACAAATTGACTCACATAGCTGCAATTCCTAGGAATTCAGATATAGACAATTCTAGGCATTCAAATAATGTCCTTATGACCCACTTTTGCCATCACTCAGCTCTGCTTTCCTCCATTCTCAGGTACAACCTCTTCATAAGAAGATAAGAATGGCCACAGTAATTCCAGCTTGTATGACCTTTATAACTTATAATCTCCCAAAATTAAAATAGCATGTATCTGTTAGTGTCACATACTCAGTTTCATTGAAGTGCTCTGACTAATCATGCTTAAAACATGTGACCACCCCTTGGATAAATTACTATGGGCAGTCAGAAAGAGATCGGCCTGTCTACCTTTTTCATTAAAGGTAACACCAGCTGCTTTATTATACTAACCCTGAAATCAAAGCGATTTCACATAAAATAAGTTTATTTCTTGATCAAGCATGAGTTCAAAATTAATGGTCCTAATTGGCAGAGGGGAACTCTGTTCCATGTAACCATTCAGGGTCTGTGTATGTACTTTAGACATATTGGAAAAGTAAAATATTTTTGAACAAAGAAATGAATATCTGCTATCTTTGTTTTATAAATGAAGAATGTGATAGTGAAAGTCCACTGCTACCTTGTTCAAAAGATCAGAGTTCTAGACCCAGAAGAGCAACTTGCTCACTATATATCCTGGTATACCACTCCATCTTACCTAGGACTCCCATCCTTATTTGTAAAATGAAGGCATCATGCCATGTTACTACCCTGCTCCAAATGTTTATTTTTTAACTATCTATACAGTACATGTAGATACAGTACTCAGTATCTCTTATAAAAATGAACTTATCTCTATAAAATATAGATGATTAAGACTCATTATGACATAGCGAGTTAGAGGGAGCAAAGAAAACTGTGGGAGCATGATCATAGCCTGTTTGGATATCACAAACAGAGAAGATGTTCTCACAAGATAGAAATAATGTTCCTTCCACCCACATCTTGACATATGGACATGGATGGGTATGGTGTTGTGATGGGAGAATGAGAAGTTATTGTAATTTTAAAGCTTATATAATCTCATGAAAGCCTTGTTCTCTGAATCAAGCTTCAATTAGGAAATTGTATCAATAAGATCTCCTAACAATCTATCTGCCAAAAGTCTCTTATTTATCCCATGACTCCAGTGGATTCTAATTACTGGTAAAAACCAGAAAGGCTCCTAAGCCTGTAGATTCTACTGCACAGCACAGATTAAGCACCAATAAATAGGAAGGAAGGAAGGAAGGAAGGAAGGAAGGAAGGAAGGAAGGAAGGAAGGAAGGAAGGGAGGGAGGGAGGGAGGGAGGGAAGGAGGGAGGGGAGAGAAGGAGAAGAAGGGATAAGGGAATGGGGGAAGAGGGGAAGGGGAGAAGGAGAAAGAGAGTAAATTTAAGAATTATAATGGTTGAAAAGGCTTGTTTCAGTGCTTGACACACACAGACACACAAATAAAGACACACACACACACATACACGGTTACTCATTAGCCCTTTGCTATAATTCTAAAGCATTCCCTTATGTCCAAGAAACTGCTTTCAGCAATCTTCCCCATAAGGGATGTAAGGTGTTCGTTGTAGGAGATAAAAAGGCCCATTAACTATAATCTTGTCTGCCAGCACCTATTTTACCCTGCTGACATTCCCATGTGAGTTTATTATGAAGGCCAGTCAGTAGGGAAATGCTTTACTTATTACAATCACCTCTGTAACACTTAAATATCAGTCAGGGCAGATTAAATCCTATAACAAACAACTCTAAAATGTCAGTGGTTTAACATGATAATAGGCAATTTCTCATATAGTCTAATATGGTTTAGCTGTAGAGAAACGGGTCATTCAGGGGCTCAAGCTCCTTTCATCATGGGGCTATCCCAACCCAAATATTATGTGATGTTTAAGTACAAATGCCACTGGTAAGTCTCTCCCAGTACTCTTTCAAATTTTCAGAGAGGAAACCCCAGTGAGTCCCTTCATTTTTAAGTCATTCTACGCATATCATAAATCATTGGCTATCCTCTAGATCCCCTCAACCCAAGATTTTCCCACTCCTTGTTGAATCCACTATAACCAAGGGGTGAGGCCCTGTGGCTTACTACCCAGTATTTGAGACCCAAAGAACCAAATCACTACCTCTCCAAGTACTAGCCAACTGAGACCAGCACGAGGGACAAAATCAGCATCACATTAGTGTCTGCTTTATTACTTGTACCCGTACACTGGAAATCAAGGCAGGGATTCCCGTTTCTACCTCTGCTCTGCTCTGAACTTATCCACCCAATTACACACAGAGAGCCTAAAACATAGAACATCAAGGCCTAAGTAGAAGCAGTCTCTTACCACATGTAGACCACAAAGAGAAGACTTCTAGTTCAACCCCTTAAGAGCAATGTTCCCAAGAAACAGCAACAGGACAAAGTCTAGTTTAGGAAACTCTTGGAGGCCCCACTGGTAATTTGGAGCAATCTTATTTGCCATTTGCCTTCCCAATGAGAGAGTCAAGTAAAGAAGTAAATAAAATGAAATCAAGATTCCTCTCCAGTCCTTCAGAGAGAGTGGACATGCTGGCATATGTTCTGTCTTCTGTGAGAAGAGTTACAAATACGGGGTAAGAAAACAGAATGGCTCCCCTCTACTGATTCACCATGGACTGCAGGTGGGAGCTCCTTGGCTTTTGTTCCCATGAGTTTCCAACACCCACAGAGAAATAAAATCTTGCCTTCCAAAGAGACTCAGAGTAGGGCCAGGCAGAGAGTAGGAGGTTGCTCAGTGATATTTAAAACTATATAATAAGAATCCTATTGTATTTTCCATTTGCTTCTAAATTGAAATCCATAAGATGACACAGATGAAATACAGATGAATTTCAACATCAAGAGAACATTACTCAGAAAAAAAAACAAGGAATCAGCATGGCCAATTGTGCATTCCCAATGGAAAGCCCCTGGGGAGGTGTTCAGAATCTCTCCCTCTGCTGCTGGACTGGCAGAATGAAAGCCATTTCTCAGAGGGTGAGGAGAGAATATGTTTTGTCTCTTTGTCCTGTCTTGGGCCAGCTACAGGGCTCAGTAATAGAGCTCAATCTATTCCCCACTCCAAAAACAAATTCCTTCTCTACTTACGGTTTGAATAATTTGTTTCCACATTTTCCCACAGTGGCAATATCATTTGTTCTAAGTATGTTCTTGACGCACAGAGTTCTGCCTGAACAGATCACCCCACGTCCATAGAAGAGCAAGATAAAGACACACACAACTACTGGAACAGATTTATCCTCAAGTAATCTGAAGTACCTTCTAGTGCACAGACAAAGAGGCAATAAACACCTCAAAATCATATGCTAAAAAGACCAAGTGTGGGCCTTAGACAATGTGGGGAAAGATGATGAAATGAATCGTTCATTCTTTAATTTTCTCATTCATTCAAATAATATTTATTGAGTGCCAGTATGTGTCTGTAGTTATTGCAAAATATTGTAAAATGTTCATATACATACCAGGAATCATTTATAGATTGAATAATATATGCATATTGCATATGCATAAATACTTTTCAAAAGTAAATATGTAATGGACATAAGCAGCCACTCCTTTGCTGGCTCCTCCTTATCTCTCCTACCTTTCTAAATCATAGTTCTGCAGGTCTCAGACCTCTTCTCTAAGTATGGCTATTCCCTGGATGATGTCACTTAATCTCATGGTCTTAGAAGGCATCAGTTTCAGACAGCTCCCACATTTACATCTCTAGCAAAGACCTCCTTGCTAAACTTGAACCTAGAATATTCCAGTCCCTGACTGACACCAACATATCAATATCTATCAGCTAAATATGCTTAAACCTAAGCTTCTTATCTTCATCCAAGCATGTTCCTTCCATAGCCCTTCTCATTTAACTAACAGCAACTCCATCCTTCAAGGCACTAATCCCAAAAGTTTGAATCATCTTTACTGTTTCTCTCTTAGGTAACCTCAAGTAACCAGTCAGCAAATTCTGCCAGTTTTACCTTTAAAATACTGTGTATATAGAATCCAACCACCTCTTACCATTATCACCATCAAAACATCCCTAGGCCAAGTCACCTTCAACTCTCACCTGGATTACTGTAACTGCCTCCCAATTTATCTTCCTGGTTCTGCCCTTGAACCTTTAGCATCTATTCTTCAGACAGTAATCAGAGACATCCTTTAGAAACGTGACTCAGATGAGCTCACTGCTCTGTTGCAAACCATCCAGTGGCTTCCTATTTCACTCAGAATAAGACTAAAATTCCTTGACCCTGAAGACCCATAAGGCACTCCACGATATGAACTACAGCCAGTCACCCTCCATTCCACCCCCAATTCCACCCCTACCGATTCACTTTGCTACAGCCATATTGTACTCTGCTCCTCCTTGAAACAGCTAACGGCTTTGATCTCAGGGTCTTTGCACTTCATTGTGACATGTCATTTTATATATAACCCTCTATAGGAAGCAACTACTCCCACTTAAGACTCCTTGTTCTCTTACCATGTTTTATTTTTTCCTTTGTGATAATTTCACCATCTTATATAAAAAGATCCTTTTGTTTATTTTTCTCCATAAAAATATAAACTTCATTTCATTCATTGGTATGTACCCGGCACCTAGAACAGTCTCTGGCACACAGTCACTTCTCAATAAGGAAAATGCATGTACCATTTATGTATGGATGAATTGACTTAAAATCTGATAGCAGAATTTCTCTTAGGAAAAGAACTGACCTTGTCAGAAAAAATACCTTGCAAAATCTTTAGGATTGAAGGTAAAGTCTTGGGATTGTGGGTGTGAGCAAGAGCTAAGGGAACAAAGAGAAAACCATAAGGTAATAAGAGGCATTTGTCTTTTGTTCTTGAGAGAATTAAGAGGTAAAAGAAGGGATGGATAAGGTAGAGGGGAGCTAGTGAAATCATGTGAACTTGAAGACCAAGTGAAGTACAGTGGCCAGTGAGGGAGGAAAAAAAAAACCCTATGAAGAGAAAAATCAAATGTATTATAAACAGAGTACCCAATTCTTCTTGAAGTTGTTTTGTTAAATCTCCCATGCTTCCTCAATGTATAAGTCTGTTAAACATATACATTGCTTGATGTAAGGAGTATTATGTAGAATATAAAAAAACTAACAGACCTTTCTGGGTCAATACAGGGCAAAAGAGAGACAACATGAAGGGTACAAAATAATCCATAAGCTAAAACAGCAGAAATTCAGAACCAGATATGCCCATGCAAACATATACCCCTTCACATACAGCCCTCTAAAACAAGGAAAAAGAGGGAATCAAGGAGGTCTGCTCAGCTAGGATAGACTGGGAACCTGGAGAGGCTGCCCAATATAGGGTAAGGGTAAGTGGCTGACCCCAAGTGGTCCACATTCTCACTACAGAATCTTACAGCCTAGCCAAAGGAAAGTCCCTAGAGCATTGTAGACACCAGACTAACATAGAGAGGAAGCTTCCTGGAGACTGCACGAAGGCATTGCTCTAGAGAGTGAGCTCAGCTGGGTCTCACACCTCCCCCAGGTCCTAAGCAGCTGCAACAAGGCAGCATATTGACAGCTGAGCCCCCACAAGCCTGCAACCTGCCCAGGAGCTCAACAGCCCCTGTATCTCCACATCTCTGCAGACCCATTCCCCTCCCAGCCATACCTGTGGCTGGCTGCTGCCTCCAGGGCTGAAGCACGAGCCATTGGCAAAAAGCCCCATTGCCCCCAGCAGTGCAGCTGGAGGTGCTCCTCTACCAACAGCCAACCTGGGAGAAGATGAAATTCTGGTTGTTTCTCTGGGATTAGCACCCAGCCACACCTACCCAAGGGCCACCTCTATCCCATTGGATAGAATTAGACACATGACCGTTTTGAACCAATCACTGGCAAAAGAAAGGATATTATCCTTAGATAGTTAGGCCCATCCTTGAGGGTAGTGTCAGCTATGAGGCATATGGCTCTATGGGGAAAGGATAGTTTCCATTAGGATAGAATGGATATAGAGAAAATTGAGCTGGCTAAGTAACTAACAGTGTCCATCTCAGTGTCTTAATGATAATTGCCTGGCTCAAGCCAAATATTTCATCACTGAATTCCCAGCACATTGAATTGTGCCTGGAGCACAGTGGGTATACAATAAATATGTGTTGAGTTAATGAATGGTTTTGAATGTTCTCAGCCAGAACACATTCAGCATTTAGCATTAGTATATAGAATATATGAGAAAAGATATATATAAGTAAACTGTAAAAAAACAGCAGGAAACCATGTAGCCAAGATTTTTGGAACGCTGCTGATTCTGTGTAATGTATTCTTTTAAGTAAAGGCCATTCATTAAATGTATAACTACATATAATTGAAGCTTACGTCTTTTTAAGATGCTTCAATTAAATTAATTCCCAGATTTAAAGCATGTGCCCGTTAGTTAGGGTATTGATAAATACAGTCTTCTTCAGTATAGATGAAGTAAACACTCCCAATGGCCTAAAATTTTACTTTCACTACTCTCTTTAGCTTAACATGCTATATTTATATTGAATTATAAATATCCCCAGGAGAGGCAGTGCTCTCATCTGTTGTCTTCCTTAATATCATTATAGGTGCAGATTAATAGCATGACAATTGTTCAAGGATTCAGTTCTCCTGTTACTTAGATGAGACAAAAGTGAAATCCATCCAGAATCCTCCCCGTATGTCTCAAGGAGGCATAATTTTCTGGCATATCTCACAGCTGCTCTCTTCTTCCTATTGCCCTGTAGCCTATCTACTCCCAGTCAACATGATGGCAGACCCTAGCTAAGAGCTAAAAGGTAGTCCAGAGAATCTAGATGCTACCAATGACTCCTGAGCTGCTGCTTTTACCAGCGTTCCTCTCGTACTCAGGTTGACAACTCCATCTACTGAACTACTCCATTGAGTAGATTAAGGGAACCAGGCAGTTGCTGTGAGAAGCACAATCAAACACTAGATTCTCAGTTCTGGAGCCATCACTTCTAAATATAAATCCATGGCATGTCTCCAAGCTTTGCATTCTGCAGCTGTAAATAACAGGTACATATAGCTACACATATTGGAGATACAAATACAGTCATATCACTTTTAGTAGCTTTATTAGTAGTAAAAATTATCCAAGCTCTTGAGTATTCTTATTCCCATAAATTATCCAAGAAACTCAAGGGAATTTGAGACCCATAAAAAGGGCCTTTCTTACCGTGGAGTAGGAAAAATGGTGTCTGAGCTGCCAGTGGGTCCGCTCTCATTTCTCTGTTGGATCTGGTTCTTTACCAAAGTTGCTGTGGATCTGCTTCTGTGATATTTCACTGCTCCAGATCCCAGAACAGCTGCAGTGATTATTTGAGAGAGGTGAGTCCCAGTCCTTTAGAGCCAGGCACAGCCAACAATGCCCCAAAGTTGGACTTCTACCAGTTATAGATCTAGTGACCTACACTTGCAGTTCTCTATGACAGCCACTTTCCAGGAACATGATCACTCTTGGTTTTTTGTCCTCCTCCTCTTACACCCAGAATCATCCACCACTTTCTTTCCAGACTAGGTAACTGGGCCACATTTCCACTGATGGAAAAAAAAAGTCTGATTACTGCCTCTTCCTGCAGAATATGGTGGGTAGGGGGAGTTTTCTACTCTTCTAGGAGTAGCCACACAAGGACTTGAGAAGGACAAATCCCACCATTCTAAGAAAAGCTAGCTTCAGTGGCCCTAGACACATTTAACCTTCTAAGGGATGTTCCCTTAAGAATATCCCTTAGGAGGTTAAATGTGTCTAGGGCCACTGAAGCTAATATTTCAGGTGATTTTAAGGTGACCACATCTATCCTTCTGAATGAAGGGGAATTTTCTTTCTGTGATTCCAAGATGATTTTCTTGGAATCCAGAGAAAAGAAAAAAAAACAAAATCTCTAGTGGAGCACACTACTGCATGTCCATCTTTGTTACTGAAAGGATCAAATATGATAATGTGCAAGTATTTAACTAACCTCAGCACACTATACTAACATTAGTTGCAGTCATAAAGGTTGGTGAAACAGTCTAGCATACTGGAAAGAACATAAACCAGAGGATAAAACAGACTAGAAAAATACTCCAGCTCTTCCACTTACTATCTGTGCAACTCTGTGCATGTTACTTATCCTCTCTGAGCATTCATTTGTAAAGCATATTCATTTGTGAAATATGTATGAACATATAATATTCTGTATAATATTATATTAATAACAACTTATTGGAGTTGTGATATCAATCAAGATAACATAAGCAAAATATCTGTATTAGCCTTAGGCACAGAGTAGTAAGTTCTCAATAAATCGTAGCTCTCATTGCCATATTTGTAGCCTTTAGTCCATTTCTACTGCAATGAAAACAATACCTTAGACTGGGTAACTTATAAATAATAGAAATTTATTTATCACAGTTCTGGAGGCTGAGCAGTCCAAGATCAAAGGACCAGCAGATTCCACATCTAGTGAGGGTTGATGCCTTCTTGCTGCATCCTCACATGGTGGAAGGGGCAAAAAGGACAAACAGCTCCCTCACTCCTGTTTTATAAGGCCATTAATTCCATTCATGAGGGGTCTGCCTTCATGATTCAATCACCTCCTAAAGGCCCCACCTCTTGATACTATCAATATTGGTGATTAAGTTTCAACATGAGTTTTGGAGGGACAAAAATATTGAAACCGTAGCAAGCTTTAAACTATAATTAATGCTTATTGAGTACAAGGTATAAGGAAACACACTTATATGTATTAGTTCATTTAATATTTATCTGTGTCACAGTTATTATAATGCCCATTTTTAGATAAGGCAGTTAAGTCCTAAATACAGTGGTATGTTGCCAGAATTATACAACTAGAAGGCAACTGTATTAGTCAGGATTCCCTAGAGGGACAGAACTAGAAGGACAGATGTATAAATAAAGGGGAGTTTATTAAGGAGTATTGACTCACATGATCACAAGATGAGGTCCCACAATAGGCCATCTGCAAGCTGAGGAGCAAAGAAGCCAGTCCAAGTCCCAAAGCTGAAGAACTTGGAGTCTGATGTTTGATGGCAGGAAGCGTTCAGCATGGGAGAAAGATGGAGGCCAGACTAAGCCAGTCTAGTCTTTCCATGCTCTTCTGCCTGCTTTTATTCTGGCTGCACTGGCAGCTGATTAGATGGTGCCCACCCAGATTGAGGTTGAGTCTGCCTTTCCTAGTCCACTGACTCAAATATTAATCTCCTTTGGCAACACCCTCACAGACACACCCAATAGCAATACATTGCATCCTTCAATCCATTCAAGTTGACACTCAATATTAACCATCACAGCAACCAAGGAATCATTTGTATAGAACTATGTATGCTAGCTACGTAACAAACCACCCCATACTCAGTGAATTACAACAGCATTTAGTGGCATGCTCAGGCATCTGCAGGCCAATTGTGATTTATCTGATCTAGGCTATTCTAGGCTGGGTGGCTTTGTTTCAGGTTGCAGATTGCAGATCTGCCTCACACGTATTACTCTAAATCTCAAGTTACCCAGGGCATGGCCTTCCTGTGGAACATAATCAATGCACACAGGAACAGGCCCAACTACCCAAGCATATTTCAAGCTGCTGCTCCCATTACTTCAGCTAACATCCCGAAGTAGGTCACATGGTAAAGCCCAATATCAGTGTGGAAAGGAAGTATACTACCATAAAGTGGAATGAGAGAAAAATATTTGTGGAACAATAATTTAAATTGTCACACCTTGTCTCACCAACTGCAGAATCTGAGCTCTTATTTATTGTCTCACAAGGCTTCTCTACTGTTCTAAGAGAGTACCTCTCTACTCCAAAAAAAATCATTATTAAACCTCTTTTTCACTATTAATCTGCATAGGATTGAAGGTTGTTCCTTTTACTTATTGTCTATAGGTACCTGGCTTAGCTCTTCCAAACAGCTGAAAGAGCCCAGCTGGAGGGTAAACATAAAGTTGATAGCCCATCATTCCATGCTCATCTCAAAAGCCAGGCTTTGCAGCCCTGATAAGCAACCTGCTGGGTCTACAAATCTGCCATGCTTCGCTCTGTTAAAATTTTATTGGGCACAGTATGGTAACTCAATTAATAGTGAGAATGACACTAGCAAGTGTCACCAGAATTGCAACCTATTATTTTTTCCTTAAAATCTTTTTAAATCACAAGCTGACCAAGCTCATCAGGAGCCATGTCCCTCTACAGGGCATATTTAGTCTATCCCTGTCTTCTCCATTAGTTTCCATTGCCAGAGTCCCACAACTCTGTCACCAGCTATAAGCCTCTCTCTTCTTCCAACAGCAATGCAGCCACTTCCCAAAGGAGCTAATTGAAAACACAAATCAGGCTCTTTGGCAGGATTCTGTGCTGTTGGTAGATTTTTTTAATTTGTTTTTTTCCCCATGAATCAAAAATTTGCTGACTTTATTCCCTCTTCTTCCTCACAGTGGTCCTAATTTAGAAAGCATAGACACAGAAACAAGTCCCAAAGCCAGCCTGAATTACCACCTTAAACATGTATGAGGATGGATTCAAAGCCAACCAGCACCTGCCCTGAAAAAGCTGTAGGCACCTGGCCTTCCAAGGTGTCCTGGACCCCACCTGTCCCACTGGACTTGCCATTTGTGGTCCAGACTTGGAACTTCTCGGCTAACAATAGCCAAAAGTCAAAGGAAGACTAATTGTATCCATAATCAGTTGGCTTGCCAATCTATGACCTTCAGAAAATAAAAAGTCTATTATATACAAAGTCCGATCTAGGAAAGCTGAATGATTGGGAATCGTCACAGTGCTATTTACATTCTTTTTCCAATCTTTTTAAGTTAAAGTCCAGATGGGCATGAATGATGATCTTTATTAAATACACATATTTTTCAAGGTTAAAGAGATCCATGTCATTAGAAAAGAGAAGATAAACATACTTCAGAGTTTCTCCCCCAAAGAAATTTTCCATCTGGTCTCTTGATTTGGATTATGAAGATTATCAATGGAAGGGCAGTCATCTGAACGGATGGAGGTATACTTGTTGAAGCACTGCAGGATCTCCTATCCCCTATCTCGGCAATTTCTGTCCCAGTTGAACTGGTACAGATATAACAGGCATTCCATTGTTTCTGGGCATAGCAGACTGAGACTGTCTTCAAGCCAGACTCCTACATCCCTATGGCTATCTTTGGAGTTAACATTGAAATAAAACTTTTAGGCTCAGTCCAGTCTTAAAGTAATAATACCACTGGTAACACATCTTCCTAAAAGCTTTAATTCCACATGGTCATTGGGCCATCCATAGGGAACACCCAAGCCAGAGTCTCAGGCAAAAAACACACTAAGCAATCTACCTTGGTTCCAAATTTGCCATTGACAGCTTCCCCCATGAAAGTCAATTTGTTGGGCTCAGACTGCTGAAGCAAGTGGTTTTGTATTCCTTCTGTGATTTCAACATAGTCTTCTAACAACTGAAATTTTTTCTTCTTACTTGGATCTACTGCTTTCGCAGATACTCATAGTAACTATCAGTTCTGGCTCCAAGAATGAAGACATTGACAGGAGTAAAGAAGCCACTGGTAGTACAAATGAATTGGGCACTAGCCTATCATTCTTCCCAGGCAGAAAATGTACAAATGTACATGCATTATCACTTCCATCACTGCCTTTTGAAATTTATCTCCAGTGAGACAAGAAGGTTCTCTGAACTCAACTCCAATGGAGTTGTTGTCACTTCTGACACCACACCAACATCTGATTAGACCTCACCTGTGACAAAGTTTACAAGTAGGGAATCTTGGAGGAAGTTCTGAATGCAGGCATTAGCCAAATTCCATTATCTTTAGCTTTTACCAAAAAGAAGCTATCTCAGAAAGAAGTCTATCCAATATATGGAGAGTGATCGCAAAGAGATTTATCTCCACATTTTTTTGAAACTTTAAATTGACACCCATTACTTGGCTCCTTCATATTTTTTTGTAGACCCATAATCTACCTGGTGTCCAGGGAATCAATCAAGTTAGGCCAAGACCATACACCTCATTGAATGATTTGGATACTGGTTTGGACTCATGATAACCCCAAGTAAACTTCCTATATCCTACTGGCTTGAGCTTATTGTGGCCTCAAGCAAGCTTCCTGTATCATTTCTTTGGAGCAGTTGTCACTATGCATTGGCTGCCAATTTGTGTGAGTCCTGGGAGACAGAACATACTTACATGCAACATGTTACATGAAGCAGATTTGTTACTTATAGATAAGCAGCAAGGAACAAAAGAAACTTAAAATCCATGTAAGCAGGTCCCTGTGGCTCAAGAAAGCTGCTCAGGGCAGGTGGAGTCTCAACTGCACATGCCCCACTTGCAACACAGCCAAGGCACCTGGAAAAGCAGCCCACCCTGGTTAGATATCTCACGGCCAAAAGGACTCACTGGGCAAAGCTCTAAAGGATATCCTGCTTCCAGGGGGAGGAAGAACAAAGCTAGGGCTTACCTGGGCAGTTTCTCCCTAACTCAAGATGATACATTCCCTAGGAGGGACAGGAACAAGGCCTAGGGTTTTTTGGGCAGTTCCTCCCTATCTCAGGCTTCTAGAGTTACTTTCAAACACTACAAGCAAAAAAAGGCAGGAGAACTGGGTCCATCCAAGGCCACACAGACAATTATCCTACACTTTCCACGCAATGGAAGGCACTTATCACAGGTTTCTGGCACTCATTTGGAGGAGCTTATTCTTTCTACATTTTGGCTTCCACTGATGCCAACTTGCTGGGGCCTCTGCTTTTCTGGAGAGGCTTCTGCTAGTCCTCAATTACTGCTCCCACCAGCTAAGGACCTCTCTCAAAATATTATCTTCCTTGTGACTTTGTCTCCATTTTTCCTCCTCCTTCTTGCTAACATCCTACCTCTCATACTTCAGGAAGCAGAAATGCTCTCGAGGTATCTAAGCTAAAATCTCAGGGAAATCTTTCAAGCAATCATCTGCTTTGTGGGGAGCCTTGAAGCAGGAGGATTTGGGGGCTTCAATCTGTTGCATTTTCTGCTCTTCTGATAATGTGCCAGTCAGAGCTCTCCCATGGTCTTTTAAGTGGACGTAGGAAAAGAGTTCATAGCCAGTCAGAAAGACTAAAAGGAAAACAATTCCGTTTTAATGAAACCGCGATGGTAACTTCCATTTCCTTCAATATAAACACAGCCTCCTCCCTCCAATATAAACACAGCCTCCACCTTCTGTTGCTGTAAGAATCACTGAAGTGAAAATCAGGAGGTGACAGGCAACGGTCCATGGCAGTGGCGCTGGGGGGCAGAAGTTCCGCTTCCGGCTTCGCAGCTGCAGCTCCAGAGGTTCCTCTCACAACTCACCTTGACTGTAGCACTGAGTCTGCGCCTTGCAGTTCTGCTTGGCCAATTCTTAAACAGGGGTGAATAGCCATTGGGCATATCCAAGACCTATGGTTTAATAGCACTGGTTGGCACTTGCTGTTTCGAGACTATTTTCACAATGGACCAATGAAAAATAGCATTTCATAGGGAGCCAGAGGGCCTTCCTTTGCACATTGATGTCTGAAGGAAGCCCCCAGGAGCTTTCCTTCCGTGGTTCTCAAACTTCAGAGTGGCTGAGAATCACCTGAAAGGTTATTGAAACACAGGTCCCTGGTCCCAACTCCCAGAAATTCTGAATTAGTACATCTAGGGTAGAGAGGAGACTGCATTTCCAGCAAGTTTCACCAGCATCAGGTGATGCTGATGCTGATGTTGCTGGGTCCACAGACCACTCTTTCAGAACCACTGCTCTGATGCCAGGCAGTTCAGGGGGCCACAGGTTTGAGGAGCCCAAAGATAGCAAGACTTAGGACCATCTTTTAACTCTTTCAGCCAAAACAAGAACTCTTTTTGTGTTTTACAAAAACCTGCATGAGATTTCATTTGGGTACGGTTCCTGCAGTAAAAATGGTTTGACAACCACTTCTCTAGGAGGCATCAAAACTTGGGATTGTGCAAACTAAAGACAGAGAAAGAGTAACTTACCTCAAGAATATCAGAGGCAAGAACACATTCATTAACTCAGCAAAAGTTGAAGGGTTATGAAAAGCTAAAAGGTTATGCATGTTGCTGAGGTGGAAAAACCAGAGGCCTACTCTGGGACTCACATCTGTATAATAAGATAAACATGCAAATGATAGGTTGGTGAGGTGAAGGATATGTTAACTAGTTTCATGTAATCTTTCTACAATGATCAAAACCCCACATCGCACACAATAAATGCATATAATTATTATTTGTCAGTTAAATAAATAAATAACAAATGAGTACAACTGTTACATAGTTGCTATGACAGAGGCCTCTTTATGAAAAACAGAAATGGTTAGCATGTGGCTCACATACTATCCTTCCACCTCCTATTCCAGAAAAGATTTTACTAATTAATCGTAATATTCCTCCCAAGAGGTCCCAGATGTGACCTCAGAATCCTTCTCAACACATTAAAACACTGAGCCACAAACAATTGATTAAAGGTAGCATTCAAGTTGAAATTTGTGTGCTATCGTTGATCCAAGTTCTGGTAAGAATATTTCACAATTCCATCTGTGTAAGTTTAGGAAATAATTCATAAAGAGGATGGTACTTGATAGAATCTTGAAAGCTAAATACATGATACATAGGTGTCAAGGAGAGTGAAGAAGGGAGGAGGTGGTGATGGAGTATTCCAGCAGATGTAAAGAATAAAATTCATTACAAAGATTAACAAGTGAATGGTAAGTTGGCCAGCAATTCTAGACCATGGCTTCGTAGATGTTTTATGTGAAAGAAAAGAGAGTTTATTAAAGGTACCTAGACGTGTGTGCAGGGAGGGTCAATGGACAATTTTTTAAAACCTGACTAGATTATGTTTCTGGGCTGTGGAGAAGGATGTAGAGAGAAAGTTTGAAAAAAATAGGCAAGAAAAGAGAATATAATGAACAAGTCCTCAGAGAAAACCTAAGGCCAGTATTCTCTCCCAGCATTGCTTTGAGGTTGTCTGATCCCTACTCCTAATAGGGTGGCTGTGGTGGAAGCACGCATGCACAGCCAGGTGTCTAGTGCACAGGCACAGAGAGGAAATGCCAAACATCAACTCAGAGGGAGACCAAGCTTGAACCACAGAAGCATACCAAGAATAGCTTAGGGTGGGAGGGCCAGGGGACTAGGGAAGTCAAGAATGAAAAGCTTCTTCTCTGAGACAGCAAAAAGGCAGTGGTCTGGAGGAATTCTAAAAGGAAAAAAAAAAAAAAAGAAAATATCACATGTCCATTGGGACTCTGCCCTCAACAAAGGTCTGGATGGGAAAACCAACAACATTTTAAAGATGGATGAAACAGACAGAAGTATAGTAAACAGGTTGTGTTTTAAGATCATGACCAATTCTTTTTCTTTTTTTTTTTTTTGGTCACTTTGCAGTACTTTATTAATTATAGGAGGTTTGAGTACTCTCAATCTTCGTTTTCAAATTTTCATGCCCATTCCGAAGAATTTAGTCTTCCACATGAACTTAAGGAAGTTCCTTGAACCTCCACTACCACCTTACATTTAAAATGGGTTTTGAGTATGATACACCTAAAGAATAAATTCAATAGGTAAATATTAACATCGTTTTTAACTTTAATTTTACTTTTAACTTTCATTTTACTTTTTAAACTTTTATTTTAAAATCAGAGGGTACATGTTCAGATTTGCTACAAAGGTATATTGTATAATGCATGTTGAGTAGAGTATTTTATAATAAGAGTCATTTATGACAAACCCAGCCAATATCATACTGAATGGGCAAAACCTGGAAGCATTCCCCTTGAAAACCAGCACAAGACAAGGATGCCCTATCTCACCACTTCTATTCAACATAGTATTGGAAGTTCTGGCCAGGGCAATCAGGCAAGAGAAAGAAGTAAAGGGTATTCAAATAGGAAGAGAGGCTGTCAAATTGTCTCTATTTGCAGATGACATGATCCTATTCTAGAAAACCCTATCATCTCAGCCCAAAAGCTTCTTAAGCTGACAAGCAACTTCATCAGAGTCTCAGGATACAAAATCAATTACAAAAATCACAAGCATTTCTATACATCAACAACAGACAAGTGGAGAACCAAATCATGAGTGAACTCCAATTTACAATAGCTACAAAGAGAATAAAATACCTAGGAATAGAGCTAACAAGGGAAGTGAAGGGCTCTTGAAGGAGAACTACAAACCACTGCTCAAGGAAATCAATCAGACAAGACATAGGCAAATGGAAAAGCATTCCATGTTCTTGGACAAGAAGAATCAATGTCGTGAAAATAGCCATACTGCCCAAAGTAATTTATAGATTCAGTGCTATTCCTATTAAACTACCATTGACATTCTTCACAGAATTAGAAAACAAACTATTTTAAAATTCATATAGAACCAAAAGGCAGCTTGAATAGCCAAGGCAATCCTAAGCAAAAAGAACAAAGCTGGAGGCATCATGCTACCCAACTTCAAACTATACTACAAGGCTACAGTAACCAAAGCAGCATGATACTAGTACAAAAACAGACACACAGACCAATGGAACAGAATAGAGAACTCAGAAATAAAACTGCACATCTACCGCCATCTGATCTTCAATAAACCTGACAAAAACAAGCAATGGGGAAATTACTTCCTATTTAATAAATGGTGCTAGGAGAACTGGCTAACCATGTGCAGAAAATTGAAACTGGGCCCTTTCCTTATACCTTATATACGTATTAACTCAAGATGGATTTAAAGACGTAAATGTAAAGCCCAAAACTACAAAAACCCTAGAAGAAAATCTACACAATACCATAGGCATGCCTATTCAGGATACAAGCACAGGCAAAGATTTCAAAACAAAAACATCAAAAGCAATACCAAAATTGACAAATCGTATCTAATTAAACTAAAGAGCTTCTGCACAGCAAAAGAAACTATCTTCAGAGTAAACAGGCAACCTGTTTACTGGCAAAAGATCTGGCATTAAGATCTTAATATCCAGAGTCTACAAGGAACTTAAACAATTTTACAAGAAAAAAAAACAAGCCCATTAAAAAGTGGGCAAAGGACATGAACAGACACTTCTCAAAAGAAGACATTTATGCAGCCAACAAACATATGAAAAAAAGCTCAACATCACTGATCATTAGAGAAATGCAAATCAAAACCACAATGAGATACCATCCTACACCAGTCAGAATGGCAATTATTACAAAGTCAAGAAACAACAGATGCTGGTGAGGCTACAGGGAAATAGGAATGCTTTTACACTGTTGATGGGAATGTAAATTAGTTCAACCATTGTGGAAGAGAGTGTGGTGATTCCTCAAAAACCTAGAACCAGAAATACCATTTGACCCAGCAATCCCATTACTGGATATATACCCAAAGGAACACAACCAATTCTTAAGAAAATCTTTTATCCGATCATTGATGAAAAAGTGCTGTAATTTTTTTTCCATAGTGAGAAATAATAAGCAAAATGTGCCAGGCAGTGTGCTAAATGCTTTAAATACATCATCTCCCTTAACTTAATCCTTGTAATGCCTATGAGATATTTTCATCTTACACATGAAAAAACTTAAGTTGATAGAAGTTAAAGGACTTCACAAGCTTGTGTGTGACAGAGCTGGGTTTTTAACCCAGGGTCCAGGCTTCTATCGACTCTACCCTACGTACTTTTTTGAAGAACATCTCTGACCCCACAAAAACACTTGCTTACTTTTCACTGAACAGACTGTTTTAATTTTTTTCTAAGCATCCTTCAAGGCCCATTTGCTTCTCTCTGTGAAGCCTTCACCCGCATCCTTGTGCTCAGTTAGTGGTACCCTGCTCTGCCTTCCTATATGATACCATAAAGCTTTGTACTTATCTCTCCCAGAGCTCTCACTATGTTTGATAATAGCCACCTGTGAGTTTGTCTTTACTATAAGGTTGAAGCAAAGCACAGAGAAAGGATGTGGACTTTGAAGTTAAGGAGAACTAGTTCAAATTTCAGTTCTTCCTCTTATTAGTTGTATAAACATGGGCAAATTACTTAACCTCTACCTCATTTGTAAAATCAAGATAATGGCAACAATGATTGTGAATATTTTAATGAAATAAGATTATGTTAAGTTCTAAAACATGCTGATGCTAATTAAATGGTAGAAATTATCATGACTTTTTATAACTGTTAAGTGAATGAATTGCAATTTTATCTTGATTCACCCCATTGGTTCTATATTTCTGAAAATTTAAGATGGGAACATTTGTTTACAACATAAATTTCAAGCAAAATATTTAAACACCTCATTTAAGAAAAACAAGCTTTTCACACATATATGTTTATAAACAATTAAGGTATTTATGTAAATATCCTTATAGTCATCAAAATGGATCCCAAAAGATCTCAGCTTCCCAATAGTTGGTTTAATTTGAATTACTATAAGACTTTAAAAATAATAAAAGTACAATTCCTTTAAATGGCTGACTGTCACACAAGTCCGTGTGAAAAGACCACCAAACAGGCTTTATGTGAGCAATAAAGCTATTTAATCACCTGAGTGCAGGCAGACTGAGTCCAAAAAAGGAGTCAGCAAAGGAAGACATGGGTGAGGCAGTTTTATAGTATTTGGATAGGTAGTGGAAAATTACAGTCAAAGGGGGTTGTTCTCTGGCGGACAAGGGCAGGGGTCACAAGGTGCTTGGTGGGGGAGCTTCTGAGACTCATTGACTGGGAGAAGGAATTTCACAAGGTAATGTCATCAGTTAAGGCAGGAACTGGCCATTTTCACTTCTTTTGTGGTTCTTCAGTTGCCTCAGGCCATCCAGATGTATACCTGCAGGCTTGGACTCAGAGAACTCACACTGACATGATTTTACTAAATTACATTCCAACCTCTTTCTTCCAATTAATCCCAATGAGTCAAGTTTTATTGTGTTTACATTTCAAGTGCAAGGTTAAAGTAAGTAAGTCAAAAATCTCAAATCCAAATGTTTCAGAGAGCCATAGAAAAAGGCTTTGGCAGATTAATTGGAGGAAAAGAGGGCTTTCAAAGGAGGCTGAAAACAATTTTCTATTGATAGTTAAGTATGTCATCATCTGAGGGTATATGCAAAGCAAGACTAGCCATATGACTGAGAGTTACATGGGGCTTCATTATATTACTTCTTTATATAGACTAGAGATGTTGGAAATTTTCCATGATAAAAAATATTTTAAAAGAACAAGATATAATTACCATCATCATTTGTTAAATTTACTGGGCATTTTCCATCTCTTTTAATTCATAAAATTATCACTTCCTTATGAAGAGAAGCAAACTTAAGATTAAAGAGATTACAGAAATTTCCCAAATTCACGATCCTAATAAGTAGCAGATTTCAAGACTCTCATTTTTAACCAGTCCAAGATACTCAGAAGGAGAAAGGGGGAGAAATGGCATCCTACTGAGAAAGGAAATGTTTCCTTTTTCTATGTGAAAACTGCTAGCAGCCCTCAGATAAAGAACCCCAAGGGGAAAGCAGATGTGACAACTGGAGGCACTGCGTGTGGCCTGTGGACTCCTGGGGAGGGAAGCAAGTAGAGCAGACCACAGCACTGATAGGGGAATGGAGCTGGCAGAAGTGAAGAAACAGCAGCTCTACTGGGATCTATCAGAAAGGTAGATGGATCCAAAAATATGTTGAATCAAAAAATGCAGAATGTGCTGTGTGCAAAAACCGGAGAAGGAATAAATAACCCACCCTGAGGGAGATTCATTCAGATGTTTCCTCTCCAAGAAAAAGTGTGAGGTGAGTATTTTCATTTGAGTTTGAGGAAATTCAGGCAACATAACCAAGAGAAGCACATACCCCAAGATTTCACAAGCAGAACACAGTTTCCATGTGGCTTGTGGAAGGAAGTGGGCATTCAAAACCCGATTTTGAATTCAACCAGGAATTCCCAATGATATATGAGATGGACATACTGAGTGCTTTTTGTCAACATCCAACGAATATTTATTGAGCAAATATTATGTTTGGCACTGTGCTACATGATGAAATACAACAAAGAAAACAGATTCAGTTCTCTAAGCTATAGAGGAAACAGACAAACAAGTCAAACAACAAAAAAAATAAAATAATTTAAAAGGTCTGAGTGCCACTGTATTGGTTTTCCAGGGCTGCCATAATAAAATGTCACAGACTGGGTGGCTTAAACAACAATTTATTTTCTCACAATTCTGCAGACCAGAAGTCCAAGATCAAAGTGTCAGCAGATTTGGTATTTCCTGAGACCTCTCTCCTTGGTTTGCAGATGCCACCTTCTCACTGCGTCCTCACATGGCTCTCCCTTTATCTATGTGTTTTCTGTTTCCTGATCTTCTCTTCTGATAAGGGCAGCAGTCACACTGGATTAGGGTCCACCCATATGACCTTATTTTACCGTAATTACCTCTTTAAAGGCCCTATCTCCAAATACAACTAAGGTACTGCACGTTAGAACTTCAGCATATGAATTCGAGGTGGGAGGGAACAATTCAACCTCTAACAGCCATGAAGTTAAAAAACAGGATGCTGGCCCCATCTTTTCAGGGAAGTCGTACCTATTCAATCTGATGAAGTTAGACTAATAAGTTATCATAATACGGGACACCTCCTCCTTTTGCACAGTTGCAATTGTCACAATGGCAATTTACATTACTTTGTGTGATCACTTGCTTAAGGTCTTCCTCCCTCTCCTCACTGCAAGCTCCAAGAGGGCAAGAATCTCTTCTGCTTTTTCCTTTCACTGTATCCTACCACTTAGCAGTTAACTGTACCTGATATGTAGCAGTTGAGGTATCCACACATGTATTTTTTAAAAGGATGAATGAATAAGCATCAAGATTGAGAACAATGTTGAGGTGTGAGGTAGCATCTAAACTGATATCTGAAGGATGGGATGATGAGCTGGACATGAAATAAATGGGAAAAAGACAACTCCAACCACAGTATGTGTGAAAGGTTTGCAAAAAGATATAATCTGACATGTTACAAAATATATGTATTACATAGTGCCATATAATAATTGAACTTAATATGGCAACAAGATAAGACTGTCTTTTGTTTCAGATATTCATGGATATGCTGGGAAAATGTGGAAGAAGGGCCTAGCAATATCCTATAAAGCTAATTACTTTGGGGAATTCAAATAAAGATGAACCAACAAGAAAACAGCAGAGACGAATAATCCCTAATTTTCCCCAAATCTCAAAGTAGGAAAGTATCTTTCTCAACCGGAGGTAATCCCCCTCCAACTCCCAGGTTTCAAAGAGTAGCAACTGTCAATCTGCAGAAATTCAGCTACCACACATACCCTATGAATATATTAAGACTTTATTATGATTTTGCAGCTAAATTGCATATGATCTTGAACTCAATATATTGTTACTATACATGGACATTTTAGAGCACTGAATCTGTTCAAGGAATTTGAAGATCACTCCATTGGTTTTGAAACTCCTGCAGCAGAATAACCCTCTGCATGTGCACAGAACTTTGAAAGACTGCTAACATAAGACTTGAAGAGCTTTTATGGAGGCTACAGTTGGTTAGATAAGCAATAAACATATTTAAGCTTTTGCTCTTGAGTTACACATTATGGAAAATACATAAATATATATATCTTTCATGAAACACACATATGACGCACTGTACACCCGGGAAAAAAACAAAATTTAATGGTCAAAATATCCCATATTTGAGTCTGTCAACCTGAAATCAAAAACATCAGAATCCAGCTTAAAAGAGTTCGTTCAACTGCAAAGCTGAGAATAGCCATCCAGGTAATACAGATTCCAAAGGAATTGGATCAGTGCTCCAATGCTGAAAAGTTAAGGTCTTGCTTATACAGGCAAAAAACAAATGTAACAGGATTACAACATTTTCCATAGAAGGCTGGTTTATGAGTTACAGCAATTAGATTAGGTACAGCTTGTTTCCTTTTCATTTTCCAATTAAAGAAACTATATTCAACGTTTATCCCAGACAATGTGATAGTCATGAGGTCTTTGTGTAGGAGAATTAAGAGGAAAGTTAATCTATAATGAATATCAACAGTGAAAAGAGAATGGGTCTAGGTCTTCCCTTGTGCCCTTTAGTCTTTTACATTTTACAAAACAATGTAGGTTAAAAAAAAAAAAGCCTAATCTGTAATCAGAGAACAAAGATAACAGCTGCCTAGGTTACAGGTGCCTGTCATGTGACTCAGGTCCCATAATCACATTCCTTTAAGGCTCAAAGTAACTTAAAGTTCCAACAGCTTTTGAATTACTTTTTTTTTACAAGTCAACTTTGCCAATAGCCAACAGTGTGACCTTGACTGCCACATCACCATGACATATTCACTGTGTGTCTAACTCCTTCACTAGATTATAATTCCCTAAGGGCAGAAGACATGTTTTATTTCTTTTTCATCTTTACCAGTTCCTTCTGTAACAGGCACTCACCAAATAGATGTTGTGTGGCTGGATGGAATAAATAACAGCACCTGTAATAGATAAGATAGACATTATCTTGTTTACCAATGCAATAAGTTAACTAAGATAAAACATATATAAAACAATTACAAGGTGTAAAGTATATCTGAATAGTCTGTTTTCACATGGCTGATAAAGATATACCTGAGACTGGGCAATTTACAAAAGAAAGAGGTTTAGTGGACTTACAGTTGCATGTAGCTAGGGAGGCCTCACAGTCATGGCAGAAGGTGAAAGGCATGTCTCATGTGGCAGCAGACAAGAGAAGAGAACTTCTGCAAGGAAACTCCCCTTTATAAAACTATCAGATCTCATGAGACGTATTCATTATCACAAGAACAGCATGGGAAAGACCTGCCCCTATGATTTAATTACCTCCCACTGGCTCCCTCCCACAACAGGTGGGAATTCAAGATGAGATTTGGGTGGGGACACAGCCAAACCATTTCACTAATCAAGGTGAAATTATACAGTATTAATAATAAATTCAGCAGAGGGGAGAGAATAAGACAAACCAACTTGTCTCCAAATTTAGTCAAAGATATATTTAAGAGTTAGTGAAAATTTGACTCACTTAAAAATACTTCTAATGGGGAATGGTGTATAAATTGTCTGGCAAGGAGCCAGTAAAAGGAAGTGGTTCTGTGGTCCTTGGATTTTCTTCCCTGGGGTTCATCCCCTTCCTACTCCTTAAAATCTTCAGAATAGATTTATATCCATGTTCTGCTATAAAAGGAAGTGGCATTTTCCCTTTTTTAACTACTTTTTAAATCTAATATTTTTACTTTGTTCTGTTTTCTGATTGCTAATATCTTCCCTTATTTTCTTAAGTATATCTATCATGTTTATGTTAAATTATCTTTTCATCTGTTCTAACCCTTTTGCTCCAGATGGGAAATGTTAACCAGTTTTGTATCATCTCTCTTTTGAGGAAATTGTACTTCTCTAGTGTCTGGTTATTTTCAGCTTATCAGCTCAGCTTCCCCTAGGAGTTCAACCCGCTTGTCTTGCCATTGTACTGAAAAAGGTTCAAAGATCAGGCCCTATCTTTGTCCATAGCATAAAGAATAAGGAGAGACAAGAGTGAGTCCCAGGACAGAGAATCTTGACATCCACAGAGCCATCACTCCTTTTTGGCAACACCTACCCAGGCAACTCCTCTTGCCAGGCTTTCACTTTTAAACCCTTCTTTAGGAAGAAGCAGTGTGGGGAGGAGGCATATCCCTAGTTTGCAATATACTAGTCCGTGGATCTAGGAGAAGTGCAGGAGTGAATGCCTAGGAATAGTCAGTCCATACCTCTTGCCATCAACCTCAGCAAGGTGGTCACTAACACCAGTAGCCTAGCACTAGAACAATTAGGCACTGATTGTCCTAAGGCAGCGGGAGAAAGAGGCAAGAGCTAAATGTCCCTAAAGATTTCCTCTAGCCACAGCCACTCACCTTCAACATTCACCATCCAAAATAGCCTTCAAGGGCTTCTTGTGTTCATTCCTAGCACCCTGGATTCTCAATTCTATAGCTTCTTTAAGGTTGATTTTTGGAATAGGGTGCCAGTAGCCCATACTAGTTTGCTTGTTTTTAAGACCTTGTTTTTAAGCCCATCCCCTCAATGGATTTCTTTTTTGTTTCTTCGTTTTATGATTGAGTCTTGCTTTGTTGTCCAGGCTGGAATGCAGTGGTGTGCGACCTCAGCCTCCCGGGTTCAAACAATTCTCCTGTCTCAGCCTCCCGAGTAGCTGGGACTACAGGCACACGCCATGACACCCAGCTAATCTTTCTGTATTTTTAGTAGAGACAGGGTTTCACCATATTGATCAGGCTGGTCTCGAGCTCCTGACCTCAGGTGATCTGCCAGCCTTGGCCTCCCAAAGTGCTGGGATTATAGGCGTGAGCCACCCACCGTGCCCAGCCCAATGGATTTCTTTTAAAAGACTTTCTGGCTTACTTTCAGGTATCATTAGCCAATAAGTAAATTGTGATATTGTTTGAGAATCAGTGATACATTTGAGTATCAAAGATTTGTGATGTGCCTAGCAATTCTACTTTTAGAAATGTATCCTAAAGAAATAAGCTGATAGGTACACAAAAGTGTTTAAGGTCATCCACTGCAGTGGTACTGCTAATAGGGACAATTTGGAAATAACTGAGTGATCATCAGCAGAAGATTGGATAAATAAATCTGGCATACAAATGCAACACAATGCTGCATAGTCATGAAAATGATGATATGGATTATATGGGCAGAGAAGATATACCCTGTGATTGTTAGCTTACATTTCTAATATAATTCCATTTATGCAAAATAAAAGAGAGAGGGAGAAAGAGGGCTGTAGCATAGACAGCAAAATGTTATCACGGATTGTCTCTAGATGTTGGGGTTTAAAATTATTGTTGCTTTTCTTCATTATAATTCTCTGTATTGTTTGATATGTGAACATCCATTTTAATAATCCTTATGATCAGAAATATAATTTTTTTTGAAAATTAAAAAAATAATGAATATCTCCCCAATCATGAAGCCAAAGACTAAACTTCCCTAATGATTTGAGCCCCATTTCTATAGTGTTGGGGGTTTCAGAATAATCTGCTGCTGACCTTCAGTAATAATTTGCTTAGTTTATAACTTAATAACCACTGTAACCCAAGGGTACAATGAAATAAAAGTGCTAATTCGGTGGAGCTGAAGGAAGACAAATTATCCCGGGGAAAGGGCTTCCCCTGAGCTTAGTCACTTAAAACCCTTGGTGGGACCACCAGGGAAAAGAGAGCCACTGCAAGCTGATGAATTGTTCATAGTCTTATCTGCTTGGAGGGGTTCACTGAAGCATTGTTTATGCTGCTATTTCCTGCATATCTAGGCTGACTAATCAGATGATGTTAGGCTGGGGATAAAGGGTAGCAAGGAATGTAAACGTTGTCAAGCCCAGGTGTTGAAAGCAAGAATCAAAAATAAATCAAATATCTTGCTGGTGCTCCCCGGCCTTATGACCTTGTAATTCTTGGCTTAAAGTCTGGATCCTTAATGCAAATGAGCTAATGGTCTCCCCTGGAGCAAAATAGCTTCTGGTCTTGGTGAGAAATGAATAAATAGCTGTAGTGTCCTGAGGCATCAGGAAAGGATCAACACTTGGGCCAAATTCAGTGGTTGAAGCTTCCTGGGGTGAGAGGAAAATGAATCTAGGTCAGCAGGATTTGGGGGGCAACTCAGTGTTTGTTTATTATTGCTGTAAAAATAATTCTACACTTGTTGGAAATTTAAATGAATCAGATTTTTTCCCACTATTCAAAGAGGGGAGGCTGAGAGTAAGATACCAAGTTACTTCGCAGTGCAGCTCCCCCATTCTATAAGGAGGCTCAAAGGAGCTGCCATAGCTTGACAAGTGGACTAAATGACCACTAAAGGAAAAGTCTTCATGCTGATGATTTCAGAGTCAATTTAGTGATGAGAAACTAAAACAGAATTTAGATTTATTCTCTACTCTGTGCCAGGGACTATGCTGGGCACTCTGTGTGTGTAATCACATATTTCTCACAAAACTGTATAAGATAGGGAAATTATCCCAAGCTTCAGATAAGGAAAAATAGCAGTCAAAGAGTAATTATCTTGGCAAAGGTTCAAATCCAATTAAGAGGTTCATCACCTGGTTCAAGACTCAGATTGGTTTGGCTTTATGAACAGAATAAAAGCTCTTTACATTTTCCCACCACATTGGCTCCCAAACTCCTCTCTTTGGACCAAATAGCTGCAAATTAAAAGTTCTTTAGTATAATCCCCTCTCAAGTTTTACATTGGGTTTGATTGCTATGCACATCAAGGCTTCTATTGTGGACTGCAAACTTGCTAGTTCTCTACCCAACATCTATTCTTTTTCTTCCTTTTTCCAGATTAAATCTCCTTACAGCCCACGTACCTTGGGAAGGCTGACCTCACTCCAGCTCCAAGACTAAACCCCAATTTACTCATGCCAATCAGCACATCCTATTATCTTAGCCAGAATATTGGATTAGGGAGGGCATGTGACCTAAATGAGTCTATTAAGGTGAAATTTCAGGATGCTTGCTTGGAATGCTGGAATGGAGGCCTTGTGTGCTGATAAATGCAAAGCCTAGAATTGCTGCAGCCTTTTTGCTATCAAGTGGGAGGCTCAGTTTGGGATAAAGCTGATATAATATAGGGCAGAATGAAAAAAGAGAAAGAAAGAAAGTGGTCCTAAAGACAGCATTAAATTCCTGGATCAACCAAAAGTGTCTAGGACTTCCAGCTGTGCCTATCAACGAAGTATCATTATTATTTAAGCCTGCATGAGTCCTGATCTGTTTCCTAATTGACATAAAATTTTGTATCCGAAGTAGAGTATTGGAATAATAAAACTATAAATTTAGAGCTGGCTGGGTAGCAATCAGAAGCTGGCAAGCTGGTGATCATTGTTGTCTGGTTATAAAACAGCTGTTGACACTATAGCCTATTAATAAAATGATCATTTAGTTTATTGTCCAAACTAGATCACATTAGAGAATAAAACACAGATGACATTAATAATTATTTCAGGAACGGTACACTAGTCAGATTTTAGTTCACTTTTGTCTTTTAACCCTTAGAGCCTAGTGATACATTTACAATACATTGCTGTAATTTATTCAGGATCTGCTCTTTTAACCTCCCCGTCTAGAGTATGTGGTACAGTCATCCCTCAATATCCATGGGAAATTGGTTTCAGGATCTGCTCTTTTTACCTCCCCCTCAAGAGTATGTGGTACAGTCATCCCTCAATATCCATGGGAAATTGGTTCCAGGATCACCCACCCCAATAAGAAAATTCATGAGTGTTCAAGTTACTTATAAAATGGCATGGAATGTGCATATCATCTATGCACATTCTCCCATATAGTTTAGATCATCGCTAGATTACCTATAATACCTAATAGAATGTAAATGCAATGTAAATAGTTGTTATACTATGTTGTTTTATTTGTATTCTCTTTTTATTGTTGTATTTTTATTGTTTTTCTCTAATATTTTCAATCTGTAACTGGTTGAATCCATGGATGCGGAACCCACAGCTATGGAAGGCTGACTGTGTATCTTTGCAGTGAAAGTAGAAGTCCGTAACAGTAGACTGAAGTTGCCTGTAGGGAAAAGGCAGGCCAGGAGAAGGGAAATTATATATCAATGTAAATAATAAGCAGGGAGAGGTTCTTTAAAAGAAAGTGATGTTTATTCAGAAACTTCAGAAACAGCACATTGCAATTGGAATACAGTTGCCATAGTAAACTAAGTGTGTATTCAGGGAGGTAGATGGAAGACAAAGAGTTTTAAGGAAAAAATAAAGAAGACTGCATAATTTTTTTGAAATGATTATCCTTGGCTAAAAGGATCAATAACAAGGGTGACACCAGTCTGAGGTTGGACAAACAGTTGCTGGGCAGATGTCCTTGCACAAGTATTTTTTGTGTAAGGTTGCAGTGGCCTTTATGCAACGTTGTGATTTTTGCAGTCTTTTGTTACAGTTTTGCTATTAGTCATACAAGTGTGAGAACCCTCTCTTCATAGCCTTCCCTGGCTGTATTTGTCAGGGTTTGGTTTTTTTGTTTTGTTTTATTTTGTTTTTAACACAAGCGACTCCATTTTGATTCTGACATTTGCTGAGCTAACGAGGCTGACTTTATCATGAAGGTAATGGGAAACCACTCCAAGAGTTGAAGGAAGGTAGTACTGTACCTATCCTTCATGTTGTTAAAAATCTCTCTTTATGTTGAGGACGATAGATAAGAGATGAAGAAGCCACATGTAGGCTATAGCTCTAAGAATAACGAGTGTTTTTAACACAGGCAGTGGCAATGTGAATGGGGACAAGGGTACAAATTTAAGAGATTGAAAAGCAAGAAGGAAGCTGATAAATTCACCTGAAGCCAATCCTCATATAGCACATCAGCCTAAAATTCTTAGTATCAGACAAGCTTTTCAAAATTGATATGATAGTTTCAGCCCATTTTAAGAAAGTTCCTATTTTTAGGTCTCGTTTTCTTCTGCATTTTTCAAGGAACTTTTATCAACTTACCTGAAGATATTTTCACATTTAGATCATAAGGCTCTTAAGTATTTAAGGAATGCAGTGGATTTTACATACAAAACATTTTGTTTAGTCCCCTTTGTATATTACTTTTACTCCTTTGGTGTTCTTTTACAGTCATGCCTACCACTGAGGTTTTCAAGGAGTTTTGTTCCATTAGTCTAAGGGCACATCTGTCTAAGTTTCATTTTTCTAATAAGTGTTTATCACATTTGTAAAATTCCACATTTGACTGTCTTCATTTGTCCCTTTTGAGGATTCTTTATTCTTTCTTGCTGGATTCTGTATGTGTGTGTTTTGTGCCTTCTGAGCACTAAATGGAATTATTAAGCAAATTAGGTCATATCTAATATTTCCCCATGTTTAGCTAAGTATGACCTTTCATACTGTGGCAATCAAAAGATACAATGGATATATAAAAAGAATCTTTAGCTCCAGTGAATTTCATTTTTAAGAAAATATTGCTGGATCATAAAACCCTAAAGAAAATCCACTATCAGTATTCCATATTATAAAGAACTGCATGCTGTAATTGGAAGCATCTTCATGGTATAAGTTCAGCGTGGCATGGCTAGTTTAATGAGTCTTGGACTTGAAGTCAGAAAGACTTAAATTTGAATATTAGCCATGGCTCTTCTAAGCTATATGCTAATGACCAAGTTATTTGACCTCTCTGGGCCCCAATTTCTTTCATCTGGAAATGGTATTAAGATTTATTTCAGGCCAAGGTGGGAGGATCACGAGGTCAGGAGATCGAGACCATCCTGGCTAACACAGTGAAACCCCGTCTCTACTAAAAATACAAAAAATTAGCCGGGCGTGGTGGCAGGCGCCTGTGGCCCCAGCTACTTGGGAGGCTGAGGCAGGAGAATGGCATGAACCCAGGAAGCAGAGCTTGCAGTGAGCAGAAATCACACCACTGCACTCCAGCCTGAGCAACAGAGCGAGACTCCGTCTCAAAAAAAAAAAGATTTATTTCAGGCCAGGCATGGTGGCTCCTGCCTATAATCCCAACACTTTGGGAGGCTGAGTCCAGGAGTTCGAGACCAGCCTGGGCTATATAATGGGACCTCATCTCTATAGAATAAATAAATAAATAACATTTATTTCATAGGATTGTTGTAAGGATTATTAAATAAAACAATATGTAAAGCACTTCATACATGTATAGCATAGGAAATACACTACGCATAGTAGCTTTTGCCATTGCTATCATTCAAGATTCTTCTGCCTTCAGTAAATTGAATGGAAACTCAACACAGTCAGCCCTCCATATATGTGGGTTTCACATCCATGAATTCAACTAGTTATGGATTGAAAATATTCAAAGAAATACCACAAACTTCCAAAAAGCAAAACTTAAATTGGCCACATGCTGAGTACCACATTGAGTCCACATGAATGAAGTAATGTTAAGCATTGTATTAGGTATTATAAGTAATCCAGAGATGATTTAAAGAACACAGGAGAATGTGCATAGTTTATACACATAGTCTATGAGATTTAATATAAGGTACTTAGGCATCCATGGATTTTGGTATCTGGAGGGGTCCTGGAACCAATTTCCCACAGATACTGAAGGATGACTGTATTATGACAACTGGGAAGCTTGTTAAACCCAATCATAAAGGCTTCAGTTTTCTTACCTGGAAAATGAGATAGTAGTATTACCTACCTTGTAGGGTTATAGTGAGGATTAAATGACATAATATATGTAAACACCTGACATTGTGACTGGCACATACTGAGCGCTTTATATATTTAGCTGTCATTACTATTGCTGTTATTATTATGGTTGATTCTGATTAAATGTAAATCAACTAATATTTTTATTCAAATACAATGAGTTGTGGCTCTCAGTTCCTTGTATCTCAAGAACCCAAACCAACCCAGAGTCAGTCCAAAATTGTGCTTTAGCTAAAAAGTAACCAATAGACTGTATAAATGTTGAAAGAAACTTTTATCAATTTCAAATGTACATCTTGTAACATCTCAGAATCTATTATATATAGAAACAGGATACTGTTATTGGAGAGTAGATAACCAGCACCTGAGAGCCAAGAATTTATTAATAGTTTGTGTAACACTGCCAGAACTTCCCTTTTCACCTTGAAGCCAGACAAAATGTAGAGATTTTAGGAGTCTGGGGGCCCAGCAACATGGTTAGTAGCCTAGTGAGGTTGAGCACTTTTTTCATATACCTGATGGCCATTTATATGTCTTCTTTTGAGACATGTATACTGAGTTCATTTGCCCACTTTTTAAGTGGATTACATTGACCGTTGAACAACATGGGCATTAAGTGTGCTGAGCCCCACACAGCTGAAAATTTGAGTATAACTTTTAGTTATCCAAAAACTTAACTCCTAGTAACCTACTATTGACTGGAAGCCTTACCAATAACATAAGCAGTCGATTAACACCTATTTTATCTGTTATATGTAATATATGCTGTATTCTTAAAATAAAGTAAGCTCAATAAAAGAAAATGTTATAAAGAAAATTGTAAGAAAGAGAAAATATATGTACTATTCACTAAGTAGAATTGGATCATCATAAAGGTCTTTATACTCATCATCTTCACATTGAGTAGTCAGAGGAGGAGTAAGAGAAGGAGGAGGAGGTAGAGGAGGAGGAGGAGGAGGAAGAGTCAGGAATGGTCTTACTGTCTCAGCGGTGACAAGAGGTGTAAGAAAAATCTACATATAAGTGGACCCATGCAGTTCAAACCTGTGTTGTTAAAGGGCCAACTGTATTTTCTTCATTTCTGTTGAGTGGTATGAATTCCTCATATATTCTGGATATTAATCCCTTGTCAGATGAGTAGTTTGCAAACATTTTCTCCCATTCTGCAGGTTGTATTCTCACTGTTGATTGTTTCCTTTGCTGTGCAGAACTTTTTAGTTTCATATAATCCCATTTGTCTATTTTTGCTTCTGTCACCTGTGCTTTTGAGGTCTTCTCCATAAAGACTGGTCTTTGCCCAGATGAAGAGCCTGAAGCTCTACCCCTGTTTTCTTCTAGTAGTTTCATAGTTTGTTTTCTTACATTAAGTCTTTAAACCATCTCGATTTGATTTTTGAGTATGGTGAGAAGTAGGGGTCTAGTTTCATTTTACTGCGGCTGGTTATTCAGTTTTCCTAGTACCATTTATTAGAGGATGTCCCTTCCCCAGTAAATGTCCTTGGTACCTTTGCTGAAAAGCTGTTGGCTGTGAACATGTAGATTTACTTCTGGGTTCTCTTATTATATTCCATTACTCTATGTGTCTGTTTTTATGCCAGTACCATGCTGTTGTATTTACTATGGCTGTGTAGTATATTTTGAAATGCAGTAGTGTGATGCCTCCAGCTTTATTCCTTTTGCTCAGAATTACTTTGACTATTCAGGGTCTTTTGTGGTTCCATAGAAATTTTAGGACTGTTTACTATATTTTTGTGAAGAATGTCATTGGTATATATATTAGTCTGTTCTCACATTGCTATAAAGAACTACCTGAGACTGGGTAATTTATAAAGAAAAGAGGTTTAATTGGCTCACAGTTCCACAGGATGGTGAAGCCTCAGGGAACTTACAATCATAGTGGAAGGCAAGGGGGAAGGAGACACATCCTACATGGCTGGACCAGGAGGAAGAGAGTGAAGGGGGAAGTGCTACACACCTTCAAACCACCAGACCTCCTGAGAATTCACTCACTGTCACAAGAACAAGAAGTGAGAAGTCTGCCCCCATGATCCAATCACCTCCCACCAGGCCCCTCCTCCAACATTGGGGATTACTACATTTTGACAACTACATTTTGACATGAGAGTAGGGCAGGAACACAAATCCAAACCATATCCTTATGCCTGTGGCCCCTCCCAAATCTCATGTCCTTCTCACATTGCAAAATACAATCATCCCTTCTCAACAGTCCCCCAAGTCTTAACTCATTTCAGCATTAACTCAAAAGTTCACATCCAAATTCTCATCTGAGACAAGGCAAGTCTCTTCTATCTATGAGCTTGTAAAATCAAAACCAAGTTAGTTATTTCCAAGATACAATGGGGTCACAGGCATTGGGTAAATACACCCATTTCAAAAGGGAGAAATCTGCTAAAACAAAGGGGCTACAGGCCCCATGAAACTCCAAAATCCTGCAGGGCAGTTGTTAAAACTTCAAAATAATTTCCTTTGATTCCATGTCTCACATCCAGGCCACACTGATGCAAGGGGTGGGCTCCCAAGGGCTTGGGAATCTCCACCCATGTGGCTCTGCAGAGTACAGCCTCCTTTGCTGCTTGCACAAGCTAGCATTGAGTGCCTGAGGGTTTTCCAGGTGCACAGTGCAAGCTGTCAGTGGATCTACCAATTTGGGGACTGGAGGATGGTAGCCTTCTTCTGGACAGTGCTCCAGTGGGGACTTTGTTTGGGGGCTCCACCCCCACATGTCTCTTCCACACTGCCCTAGTAGAGGTTCCCCATGAGGGCTCTGCCCTGCAGCAGACTTCTGCCTGGACATCCAGGCATTTCCATACATCCTCTGAAATCTAGGCAGAGGCTCCCAAGCCTCAACTTTTGCCTTCTGCACATCTGCAGGCTTAACATCATGTGGAAGTTGCCAAGGCTTATAGCTTGCACCTTTTCAAGCAATGCCCAAGCTGTACTTTGGCCTGTTTTAGCCATAGCTGGAGCTGGAGCAGAAATGATGCAGGGTACCATATCCTGAGGCTGCACAGAGCAACAGGGCCCTGGTCCTGGCCCACAAAATCATTCTTCCCTCCTAGACCTCCAGGCCTGTGATGGGAGGGGCTGCCAAGAAAGTCTCTGAAATGCCTTTGAGGCATTTTCCCTATTAACTTGGCTATCAACATTTGGCTCCTTTTTACACATGCAAATTTCTGTAGCTGGCTTGAATTCCTCCCCAGAAAATGGGTTTATCTTTTCTAACACATGGCCAGGCTGTAAATTTTCCAAACTTTTACATTCTGCTTCCCTTTTAAATATAAATTTCAGTTTCAGATCATCTCCTTGCTCAAGTATATGAGCATATGCTCTTAGAAGCAGCCAGACCACATCTTGAATGCTTTGCTGCTTAGAAATTTCTTCCTCCAGATACCCTAAATCATTTCTCTCAATTTCAAAGTTCCACAGAGCTCTAGGACAGGGGTACAATGCCTCCAACCTCTTTGCTAATACATAACAATAGTGGCCTTTGCTTCAGTTCCCAATAAGTTCCTTATCTCCATCTCAGACCACCTTAGCCTAGACATCATTGTTCATAGCACTATCAGCATTTTGGTCACAACAAATTAACAAGTCTCTAGGAAGTTCCAAACTTTCTCTCATCTTCCTGTCTTCTTTTCAGCCCTCCACTCTCTTCCAACCTCTTCCCATTACCCAGTTCCAAAGTCACTTCCACATTTTCATGTATCTTTACAGCAATACCGCACTATTGGTACCAGTTTTCTGTATTAGTCCATTTTCACATTGCTATAAAGAACTACCCGAGACTGGGCAATTTATAAAGAAAAGAGGTTTAATTCACTCACGGTTCCACAGGCTGCACAGGAAGCATGGCTGGGGAAGCCCCAGGAAACTTACTATCATGACGGAAGGCAAAGGGGAAGGAGGCACATCCTATATGGCTGGAGCAGGAGGAAGAGAGTGGAGGGGGAAGTGCTACACACTTTTAAACAACCAGATCTCCTGGGAACTCACTCACTATCATGAGAACAGTAAGGGGGACATCCACCCCATTATACAATCACCTCCCACCAAGCTCCTTCTCTAACACTGGAGATTACAATTCAACGTGAGAGTTGGACAGGAACACAAATCCCAACCATATCAGTATGTTGATAGGGATTGCAATGAATCTGTAGATCACTTTCGGTAATATGGTAATTTTCACAATATTAGTTATTCTAATCCATGAACATAGAATGTCTTCTTGTTTGTCTGTGTGTGTGTATCCTCTTCAATTTTTTCATCAGTGTTTAATAGTTTTTCTTGCAGAGACCTTTATCTATTTGGTTAATTAATTCCTAGGTATTTTAAAATTTTTTACAACTATATTATAAATGGGATTGTTTTCTTGACTTTTTTTTCTCTTAGTTTGTTGTTGGCATATATAAACACAACACAACTAATTTTTGTATGTTGATTTTGTATCCCACAACTTTGCCGAATTTGTTTATCAGGTATGAGTTTTTAGTGGAACTTCTAAGGTTTCTGTATGTAAGATTATGTCATTGGCAAACAGGGACAATTTTACTTCAAGACCCAAAATTTGGTCTCAAATTTATTTATTTATTTCTCATTTTATAACCTACATTTACATAAGCAGTTCATAATATCTGTCAATGTCAAGGGCTCAAGTTCTTTCTGTGTTTTTCCTCCACATTTCCTAGGATAACACCATCATCTTTAAGTTTCAAGATGGCACACAATGATGGTCTTATTCCAGCACAAGAGTTAAAGGGGAAGGGGGTGGGGCATGCTCTTTCCCTTCAAGGGATGATCTGGATTTATATATGTCACTTTCATTCATATTCCTTTAGTCAGAACTTAGCTATGTGGACATTTACCTGAAGAAAGGATGGAAAATATTGTTTTATTTTGGGTGGCAATGTGCCCAGCTAAATCTTGAGGTTCTGTTATTAGGGAAATTTATTAAGGACAGAAACAAGATACAACTAGCATTCTCTGTCAAAACAGCAGTTTAGATTGATAGTACAAGACATAGGCCTGGAAGGCTGAAAGCCTAGGTTTAAGTCCTGAAACAACATTTATGTAGCTGGCTTAACTATCAATTAACTGGGTGATCTTGGCAATGATATTCAGTTCAGTAAGCTGCAGTTTCCTCATAACAGAGTGCCTATTTCATCGGATTACTGGAAGGATTAAAAGTGCTAACCCAAATAATCTCACATAGTTCTTGACACTCAGCATGTACTCAGTAATGTAAGCTATTATTGTCAGTAATTAGGAACATCAGTTCCTCATTAGAGCCTCCTTCTAGGAAAAATACTAAACAGCTTGAGGGCAAGGACAGTGTCCTGAATTTTCTCTTGGAGAATGGGTGAGTGTATTTTGCATGTAGGGTCTTCAGGGGAATGAAAAGATGTTTTTACAAATATGTCTCCCCCAAGAGACCGTTTCTAAGCGATCTCAATAGCCCCAGGTGTTAAGTGTCGAAGGAAATGTGCCAAGTTTTATAAGGCAAACATGCTGGTCTGGGCACTGGCTGCTTTAAAATGACCCTTGATAAAATGTATGAATTCCTGAGCATCTCATAATCAGAATCTCCAGGAGTATAACACACAATGTTATTTTTAATAAGCTTTCTGAGTTAATGCTGTTATTCCACAAGGTGTTCGAATCATTGCTGAATAACAATACTAATAAGAGTATTTGTTGTTATTAATAATGACAGCTATATTTATTAAGGCTTACTGTGTATGTGCACTAGTCTAAGCACTTTATACATGTTAACTTATTTTATCCTCACAATAACCTTATGAATTGTTGCTATTGTTATCTTCATTTTACTGATTAAGAAATGGAAACACAAAAAAATGTACATAACTCACCCCAATCACAGAGTGAGTAAGTAGTTGAGCCAGGATTTGAACCCAATCTTGCTCAGAGTGTGCACAATTAACCACATTATTCTGTTTCCATTTGCAGTGGAAGGAAAGTGATGAGTGGAACTGGATCCCACTGGAGAACAGCCAGGGCTCCATCACAGCCTAAAGCCTCAAGGAGCTCCCCATGAGGTGTCCCACACATGCAACCTTGCTTACTTACAGAAGCACCTAAGACACACCATTAAAAGCTGGAATAAATAGCCTCGAAAAGAGCATAACTATGTAACAGACGTTTTTCCCAATGTGACAAAACTAGCTGTGCTTAATCTAGGGCTGTTAAATACCCAAAGTAGATGAAACTACATTGAGTTATGCTTGGCACTTTCTGGCCATAAAGTTAATTTTGTATTCCCTAGAACAGATGTCCAGCTGGACTTCTAGACTGTGCCAGGCTCCTCGGGGGCAGGGTGAGGGGCAACGATGCAGGGATGATGCAAAGTCTTACTCAGAAAATAATGAAGGTTTTCAAGGGCTAGGTTATCACGGACATGAGGGCTTCTCACTACTAAAACTGCCCAGTGTCCAGGCAGTTCCATGGACTGCGCTGCTCCTTTTCCAAGAAAATCTCATGCACATGAAACTGCCAAGCTCTGTGCTGCCCAAAGCATTTTGTAGGCTGGTGAAACAGGCAGCCTCCATATTTGTAAGCAGTTTTCAGAATGTCTTGTCATTTATCTGTCTACGTATCTCTCCTTCTCACCAGACTGAGTGACCTGGCAGAGAATAAGGGTGGTGACTGCAAAACTGGATGAAAATGCCTCTTCTATTATTGAGAGGTGGAATCTAATTCTCCACCTTGGAATCTGGGTTGGCCACATGACTTTCTTTGGCTAACAGGGAGGGAGGAAGGGGGCAAGCAGTGAGTTGAGATCGTGCCACTTCACTCCAGCCTGGGCGACAGAGCAAGACTCCATCAAAAAAGAAAGAAGAAAGGAAGGAAGAAAGAAAGAAAAGGAAAAGAAAAGAAAAGAAAAGAAAAGAAAAGAAAAGAAAAGAAAAGAAAAGAAGAGTGATGGTGCATTGGATCTTGCCTTCTTGCTATGCTTAGAACCCTGAGATCTAAGGGAACAAGCCCAGAGTAGCAGCTGAAAGATGAGAGGCTGATAGAGAAGAACCAGGGCACTCCTGCCAATGCCCAGTCAGTGTTCACACATGTAATTGAGGCCATCCTAGACCATCCAGTTCCCAGTGACCCCAGACCACAGATGCGTGACAGGACACAGTAGAGATCAGCTGCTATGCCCAAAGCAGAAAAACGTCCCAGCTGGGACACAAGATTATAATGAGCTATATAAAATGATGCTATTTTAGGTCTCTAAGTTTTGGAATGGTTTGCTGCCCAACAA